>NT_187627.1:0-143900 GCF_000001405.40 Homo sapiens | reverse complement strand
GATCATCAAACCTGCTCTGCTCTTCTAGAAGCTACAAAGATGAGAACCCAAGAACCTGACAAGCCAGCAAAAAGATAAGAATTTTTCTACCAGTCAGACTCCCAGCCTTTCTCTATGTATAATCTGGTTGGGCAGCCAATGAAAATGACCACTTGTCTCCTCTGCAAAGTTTTCATTAGTGGAAGAAAAACATTTGCATATGACTGGTCTTGGTGTAGTGACTCTGGTATACCTTTTGGTACTTTGTGGTATGATTATTCATATTGTCTGAAATAAATTTAATGACTTTTTTTGTTAGAAACATTGCTGATTCTATTAATGTTTGGTTTTCCAGGGTAAAGAGAACTTTTTTTTCTTTGAAGCTATTTATAACTTACAACAAATTGGGTAAAATATACTTTTGCAAGCAAAATGAAAGCATTTTTCTTTCTCTCTACCAGATTTCTCCAGAATTTGAAATGATTTGTGAGTATTCTTAATTTAAGGCAATATAGTTATTTGCATAAATTCAATAAGAATCTGTTTTCTTTTGTAACAGGACACAATTGGAAACACTGGTTATTTTACCAAGGCTTTGACTGGAGTGGCATATGACCAGACTGCTTTGAGGAACTGAAGTGAATTAATAGAACTGATAAAAAACCCCTTCAAAATACTGGCCTCTTACCTTGCCTAAGCAATTTCTTTACAAAATTTCTGACCTGTGGTAAGTAAAGAATGTCACTTTCTTGACCGGCCCAGGAACCTCAAGTTATTTTGGGAACTCAAGAAGAGAAGAATTTACCCAATTTATACGGGTATCTGCAGGCACAAATAAATTATCAGCTTGGCTGACCTAGAGGGTCTTTTAAAAGTCTAATTTGAGGTTTCATATTTTAAAAGTTTCAGCAAAGCCAATTTAAAGGAGCCTATATGACCAATCACTATTCTTGCTGCACTTTATGCAAATCATCAGGCCAAGTATAATAAGAGTAAAACTTGTTTTACAAATAAATTGGTTGTATTGTGATTCATCCTTAGTAAAAATGGGAAACCAGAGAGAAAGAAATTATGTTTCAGAAAAAAACTATAGTACAGCTATTATTAGATTATACCCTCATCTATTGCTTTTCAGTTTTTATTGTTTATCTACAATTTGGACTCAATCCTGAACTCTCCTGTAGTTACAAGTCTATACCTAATATTTCTCATTTTTCCCCATATGTCTGACTTGGAATCACTGAAATTAAAACTGCTTTTTCCTAAAGCCCCACGAGCTGAAGCTAGACAACTTGATATAAATTTTAAGAGAAATCACTATAGCAACTAAATATCTGAACAGTCTTCATGCTTGTTGATGTATTGACTGCACAGAAAGTTTCCTGGAATATCTGATGTAAACTGCAAACTAGATTGCCACTATCTTCTCTGACTTCATCTGAACATGCTTCAAGCTCAACATCTAAAAATCCTCTCAACTGGCTGACCTCTGGACTAAAAAACTGAGTTTATAGTTTGTTCTAACCATTAACTCTGGTTTTTCTTTGATATGCACAGAAGTTCTTCTTACTAAATATCCAATTGCTCAAATCACATAGAGGACTGACTTTGGGGAAAGCCCATCAACAACAGCACTGCCTGATTCACTGTTAACTATTTAACTGGACTGGCCTATTCTCTGGGCTGAAAAACTGGTTTAACAGCTTATAAGACAATCCAGCAACTCTATTTCTGAACTATGAAACTTCTTGGGAAAGTTTCACAATGGGGAATGTTGTGGATCAGAAAACAACAGCCCAAAATGAAGGCCTCAGCAGCAGCCTCAGAGGCAAGTTTTTCTCTGACCTTCTCCTGCCCTGCTATCTCTCAGTCCCATTCTTTCCCAAGGCTAGCCATAGAAACTAGAATCCTTCGTCCTTCCGGTGGGTCTTAGAACCAGAACCCTTCTCCCCCAAATTAGTCATAAAACCTAAAACTATTATTCTAATATTCCCTCCACCTTTCTATGTAAAACTAGCCATAAAGAAACTATCTGACCTACCTTGTTTGACTGTAGGTCATAAGATCCCATTCCAGAGAGGGCCCTTCCCCATACTGAGAAGAACGGAATGCTTGCTCAGAGAGGCTGAGAAGAATCTATACAGGGCTTGCCGGGTTTTCTGCTCTGTCTACTAACATTAGAATCTACTCTTTTTGTTCCATCCTGTTTCTGTATGGCTGTCCATAATTTGTTAAACCTAAGCGTAAAAATGGACAATTTCTTCTGTATCTTTTGGTCTTCATTCTGAAAGCTCTCTTGTATACATGTTAAATAAATTTGTATGCCTTTTCTTTTATTAATCAATTTGCCTTATGTTGATAATTTTCAGCAAAACTTTTTGGAGCCAAGGGCCTTATAGGGGCCTCACCCATGAACCTAAGATGAGTAGAAAAAGAGATATTTTCTTCCCCTCCGCCTACTCACACCTTAGCCTGTTTGTCCCTTCTGTCACTTAAACCTTTAGACACCCACACATGCCAACTTACCTCTCTGACTGTGTCTTCTGCACTATGAACCCAGAAGAGTTTTTGGCCCATGGTGTGTTTTTCAGGCACTCCATAATTGGAACTGAGTTCTGCTAGCCTGGAATTCTGGTTACCCTTCCTGGCCTTTTTCTGTGGGAGTCTCTTGATACACACTTGAATCTTTGAAAATTAAATTCATTAAATCCAGACTTAGTTTCCTGGATTCTGAATCATGCCTTCTCTTTAGCTTGGCATGGTATTTTGACTTTGATTTCCTTTCTGTAAGCTTGGTGCCCCTCCCGCTTTTTTCTCTTCTGTGAACAGACGTTTCTGTACTAAGAAGTAATTTCTTTTCTGCACTCAGCTCCTCTCGTTCCCTCCCTGCCCTGCTTCTTCTCAGTTTGTCCCATCTTCTTGCTACTTATAATTCTCCTGATACTTTTGAAGGTACCCTTCTGTAGAGCTGCTTTTATTAAGTGAATAAATTTAGAGTGTAAAAGTCGAATAGTAAAAGACATGAATCATGTACTGAAACTTCATCTTTTAGAGAAAATGTAATCCTCATAATTCTTTCAAAAGGATAAGGCATCAATTGGAAGATTTTGGCTGCAGAATAAAAATCCTTCCTATACCTAGCTTGTTCTCCCCACTCTGTTCCCCCATTTTTAGTCCCCAAATCACCAGTTTTCCTTTCATCAAAGAAAAAATATCCATATAATTATATGGTTATATGATAGACCATTTTCAGTCACTTAATCACTTAATTCTTACCAAAGAAGTTTCTATTTCCTCTAACAATTTATTTCCTGTGTGATTTCCACTTTGAGTATTTCATTTTAATTAATGAAATTCATCTTCATTCCTGAAGTCACAGGAACTCCCCAACCACCTGTACCTTCTGTTTCACATCCAATTACTTCTTACTAAATTCCTGAAGAGCATAGTGATTCAGGCTCAATAGACAACATTTCCTTTAAAAATAAATTTTTAAGCATAGATAACCTGACAAAACATTGAATATTTCTAAATCTGCTTTCCAAATGTGTGTGTTTTAGAGATGGGAGTGGTAAAAGGGAAAGGTCAAACTGAAAATTATTCCCAGTCATCTTGATTCTGCATTTGTCACATGAGTATCCTTTGGCAAAATTCTAGAATTCCAACACTTTTGTAAACATGGGACAGGGCTACTCAAATGCCAGTCGACCGAACCTTGTGTTTTACTTTTGAGTTGATTGCTATACTATTTCGCAAACTCAGACAATGATGCCCCAAAGTATGGCATTGTGGTATGCTGAGTACTTTGAACTAAAGAAAATGGAAAGACCTCAGAAGCAGCGCAGAACCAAAAATCTCTCTGACCTCCTGTCTCCCATCCCTCTTTCTGCTTCAAAGCAAGTAATAGAAACCAGAATTCCTCTTTCCTTTTTTTAATCTTTAATTTTAAAAAATATACTTAAATAGAGAAAGGATCTCACCATGTTGCTCGGCTGGTTCTAAACTATTGGCCTCAAGTGATCCTCCTGCCTTAGCCTCCCAAAGTGTTGGGATTACAAGCATGAGCCATCACACCAACCCCAGGATTTTTCTCTTACTTAAGGTGTGTCATAGAAACTAGAACCTCTCTTCAAAGCAAACCATAAAACCCAGAAAGGTTACTCTCTGCCTTCTCCTTTCTTCCTTGAAGACCCTCATTCCAGAGGAGTTCTGCCCCATACAGTGGGGTTCAGGGGAAATGCTACCCAGAGACATCTAGAAGAATCTGAACAGACAGATCTTGCTATGTTTCCTCTCTCAGTCTATTACCACTAGATGTACTCTTTTTGTTCAATCACATTTCTACGTGGCTGTCCATTCTTCATCAAACCTAAGCATAAAAGTAGGCCATTTTCCCCAGCTCAATGAGTCATCATTTCTGAAGTGTCCTGTGTCACATAAAACTTGGGTTAAATAAATTTGTTATGCTTTTCTCTTGTAAACCTGTTTTTGTTATAGGACTGTTGATTGTTACCCTTATAATTGATTTAAAAAAAAAGGGATCACATCTTTCTGCCCCTACACTACTCATACAATAGTAGTTTTGCTTGTTTCAAAACTGATACATTTCTTAAAATCATAATCCATTTTGTTACTATATTAATATAGATACTACATAAATATGAATAGTGCTGGAGGCCCAGGCAATTCCAGTTTTTCACAAATTACTATCCAACCTTCCTAAGTCAGTGTTTAACACACTTTCCACACAACCATTATCATGTGACGATTTAGTTCTAAGGCAGAGGAAAAAACCCATTCAACCCTCCACAATGAATAAGGTGGTTTACCATGTGAATTCCCAAAGGAAAACACGTTTAGAGTTCCAGTTCATGCTCTATCTGGAATGTCCATAAGCCCAGAGTTATGAAACTCAACTCTGCTCCAGCATCAAGAAAAGAGGGGTGACAAGACCAATTAGCGCCAGCAGTGGCACTAGGAAAGGGGGAGGTGGCAGGCATGTGTGAAGGGTATGAACAGCCACAGGATTTTGTCAGCTGGACCAACAGAATAAGAAAGTCCCCAACACCAGGGAGGGAGGGGAGCACCATGGCAGCAGCAACAGGAAAGTGCACATAAGAGATATGTTAAATCAAACTAAATTTAAGCTTTAGAAGTCTCCATATGAGCCCTACATGACAACCTGCAACTTAACTTAATAGGGAAACCAACTGAAAACCTGACTTAGGAATTTGCCTTTGTAACAAATAGCTGAGTCTCGGCCAATCACGGCAGCAGAGCTTCAGTCAATCACAGGTGGCCAGCTATTCAAACCAGGTTCAACAGGCAAATACCAAGCTTTAACTGGCTGAGCCGTCTGTATCCCTCCTTCCATCTTCTGTTCTTCAATTACCTTTTTTTTTGCCTGTAAACATTAACCAGCCATGTGGCAGCCTCAGGAGTCTTTCAGAACCTGTTCTGGTTCTGAGGATTGCCCGACGCACAAATAGTTCTTTGCTCAATTAAATGCTGTTACATTTAATTTGTCTAAAGCTTTTCTTTTAACAGATGTTTATAAGATAGGTGTTCATAAGCAAGAGAATGTAACTCTATTTGCCTTTAAATACTTGTTATGAAGAAGTTATATTTGCAAAGTTCTAAGAAAGCTGCAATCACTTGCTGTTGCCGGAAACTGCCTTGTGGCCTGGCGTCCTGGGAATTTGCTTGGCTTTTTGTGGCCGCCATCCAAAACTGGGAACCACAAGTCAAAGGTAAATATAAACTAAAATTACATTACTTCCCTTCCTTGTTTATGCATTTCTGCCGAATGGGGACATTTTAGCAGTAATATTGCATTTATTAGGAGGATAGACTGTCAGAGCAAGTCAATCATAGCCGTGATAAAAACACAGAAACATTCTTATGCGTTTTTCCACAATACACTATGTTCAGTTGGGATAAAACTCGGGCTCCTAGTTACATAACACTATAAATAGGTATAATTGCACTTTATCTCTAAATGTGAGTAGATATATGTAGAGATGACAGAAATGTGTTAATTATATTCAATAGCTTCCAAAGAACAACATCTAGATTTCTAGCTCCAAAAGGAAATTTGTCAAGATTAAACTTAAAACCAGTTTTATAACTTAAAATGAAGACTATTCCTCTAGAAATTGTCAAGGGAAAATACATAATGTTTTCAAAGGGGAGAGACTCATAATCAAACATATCAACATTCACGAAAATGGAAGGCAAAGGAATAGAAATGTTAAGTGTAGACACACTGAAGGCTTCAACATAAGAGTCAAGTGTTTAGAAGAAACCTTTATCACATCTAAATCAGAGATTCTAAATCTTTTTAAAATTTCTACCAAAATTGACAATTGTACTTTTCTCTTCATGTATAATTCATCGTTCTGGAAGCATGCAACCCTTCTCACAGTTGTTACAGTTAACTGCATTTGGATATCAATTTAAGAATATTACTGGCCAGGCACTGGTGGCTCATGCCTGTAATCCCAGCACTTTGGGAGGCCAAGGCGGGTGGATCACGAGGTCAAGAGATCGAGACCAACCTGGCCAACATTGTGAAACGCCATCTCTACTAAAAATACAAAAATTAGCTGGGTGTGGTGGCACGCCCCTGTAGTCCCAGCTACTCAGGAGGTTGAGGCAGGTGAAACGCTTGGACCCAGGAGGTGGAGGTTGCAGTGAGCCAAGATCGCACCACTACACTCCAGCCTGGGTGACAGTGTGAGACTCTGTCTCAAAAAAAAAAAAAAAAAAAAAAAGAATATAACTACTTCTGCAGGCATATAACAAAATCGAGGTTGTCGGTTACAGCCAGTCATTTTTCTGTGAGTAATCCCAGGCATGCTTAATTCTCTACATAAGTATCATAACTTGTTAAACTACAACATCCAGTGCCTTCTACTATGGGCCCTCGCTTAGGGTAGGTAAGAGGAATAGAGAAAATTAAATTCCGAGTATACTATCAAAAAGAAACTGCTACATTTTCCTATAGGTTGCAGCTATTTTACAGTGCAATATGGAGCAGTCATCAATAATATGTATGTAGTAAAAGAAAACTTGTGCACTAAGAAGGAAAACCAGGGCCAAACGCAGTGGCTCATGCCTATAGTCCCAGCACTTTGGGAGGCTGAGATGGGGATCACTTGATCTAGGAATTCAAGACCAGCTTGGGCAACATAGTGAGACCCAATCTCTACAAAGCATTAAAAACTAACTGGGCCTGGTGGTGTACACCTATAGTACTAGCTATTCAGGAAGCTGAAGTGAGAGAATCACTTCATGAGTTGGAGGCTTCAGTGAGCCATGATCACACCACTGCACTCCAGCCTGGATAACAGAGAGAGACCCCGTATCAAAAACAACAACAACAGGTAATAGATCCTTCCACCATTTACTTGCCATATTTCATAACTCAAATGAATCTTCTGTTCCTCTGTAATGTGGTTCATGAGAGGTTCTAGGATGTGTACATCTTTGAAATGGTTAAGAAATTTATTTACAAACTATTTAACAAGGAGTTAAATACCAAGAGAAATACAAACAAGCGCATGAACAATCACAAAAAAGGATGATTTACTAAAGGGAAAGTTAGAGTTCTATGGACACACAGTGGAGAAAACCAACCTAAATTAGTAGAAGAGGAGGTCAGGAAGATTTTCCTGGGGGTTGAACGAGAGCATAGTATCCTAAAGGAGGAAAAGGAGGGGGATTTGGAGAGTGTTGACTGAAAGCCTTGAGAAGAGAAAGCAAAACCAGGGAATCCTCCAGGGACTAAAACGAGTGACTACAGTGTCAGTGGTGGAGAGAGATGGGAAGGACAAGGGGGAAAAGCAGCTGGAGAGATGGCGAATAAGGACAGCAGGAGGGAATGCAACGAGCTCTGACCGGGAAAATAAGGGTGAACCAGATCTAACAGGGCTACATCTATTATCAGCAATTTTCTCCAGAATTTTGACTGCCCTCAAGGAAAGAAAAATGAAGCCAATGAAAAGCTTAAAGCATGTAGAACTGATACAAAGAGAATTATGTCTCAGAAATAACACTCTAGCTTTGTTGGAGATTATGAATTAGTCCAGGAGAAAAGCAGTAGTGGCTTGTACCAGACCCTGCCAATAGAGATAGAAAGAAATGGATGGAACAGACATGCATTTAAGAAGGTTCAGGCCGGGCGCGGTGGCTCACGCCTGTAATCCCAGCACTTTGGGAGGCTGAGGAGGGTGGATCACGAGGTCAGGAGATCGAGGCCATCCTGGCTAACACAGTGAAACCCCGTCTCTACTAAAAATACAAAAAAATTAGCCGGGCGTGGTGGCGGGCGCCTGTAGTCCCAGCTACTCGGGAGGCTGAGGCAGGAGAATGGCGTGAACCCGGGAGGCGGAGCTTGCAGTGAGCGGAGATCGTGCCACTGCACTCCAGCCTGGGCGATTGAGCAAGACTCTGTCTCAAAAAAAAAAGAAGGTTCAGCAGAGTGTGGTGAAGACTGGGCTGTGAGGCTGAAGGAAGAGAGAGTTGGGCAGGGGGATTATTGAGAAGTAGAGAAATAATGGTCAGTATAAAGATATATGGTCAGAGGAAAGCCAAGTGTAGAGAAAGGAGTGTGTGGACAAAGATTAAGTTGAAATACACCAAGTGGCCTCTGAGATGTTGTCTTTGGAGGCCAGGACAAGATTTGCAGAGCCGGACCTTCAAAGAAAGACAGATACTGAGAGCTACCCACAGATTGGATTTGAGCATTTAGCTGAAAGAGCTCTTGAAAGAATGGACCCCGAAATTTAATCAAAATTAAGCTCTCTTCAGTCATAGTCTTCTCTATTTAGATTTTTTTCTTAAGTATAGGAGAGAGAGAGAGAGAGTGTGTGGGTGTTCTGATGGGAATTTTGTATAATCAAGACCTTGGATAGCCAGAAAGAAATAACACACTAAATTTTTTTGAAAGTCTAATGCCATTCAAGATGGATATCTTTGTTTGAAATAGTAAAAACAAAATATGCTAGCAGGCCCTTTCCCAGATCTTGCTCAACTTGAAAAGTAAATATAGAAAGAAATAGGTTAATTCCTGTCCCAATCAAAATACTGCTTTCTCCTTATTGTATCTGGGGAGTCAAACTATAGGTCAGCATCCAAGAAAAGATTTTAGTCTCCCTCTTCACCTAGAGTTTTCCTTAAGATTCTAAATTCACCAAGTCCCATCTCTTTTCTCATCTATAATTCACATTTGCTTTAATTGTCCTCTGTTCCTCTTTCCCTCTCGCCCTTCCTTCTAACCTCCCTCCCTCACTCTAAAAAAAACAAAACAATAACAATAAAACCGTCCCAATGTGTTGAGGATTTGCTGATCAGTTCACTGTGGTACGAAGCTGTCAATGGACAGTTTTTCTAAAATATACTCTTTTCTGTTCAACTGGACTAGACACTGGTCTACCTGTTATCAAGTTCCAGATTCACAACCCAGTGCTTTTTAGACATCTTTCCAGAATGACTGTGACAAGGAAGCAGCAGAGAGCAGCTCAGTCTTCTCCAGAGGTACCAGGACAAAAACAGGAGGCTGAATGCATTGTGGTGATTCTCAAAGGTACCTCATGGAACTTGAGTAAGCAATTCTACTCTACAAGAGGGGCACACTACCTAGAACAGCAATTAGAGTTGATAAGGCAATCAAATTGAAAAACGAGGTTTATTCTCTCACACACACTGCATTTTTATTCCGAATTACCCTTTTCATTAAAAATAAAATCCTCCCCCAGTATGGGTTGGAACTGTGTCCCCGTCCAAACCTCATGTTGAAATGTAATCCCCAATGCTGGAGGTGGGGCCTGGTGAGAGGTGATTAGCTCATGGGGGCAGTTTCTCATGGTTTATCGCCATTCCCCTTGGAGCTGTCATTGCAATAGTGAGATCTGCTTGTTGAAAAGTGTGTGGCACCTCCCTCCTCTCTCTTCCTCCTGCTCTGGCCATGTGAAGCGCTGGCTCCCCTTTGCCTTCTGCCATGACAGGAATCTTCCAGAAGCCTCCCCAGAAGCAGAAGCTGCCATGCTTCCCAGACGGTCTGCAGAACCACGAGCCAATTAAACCTCTTTTCTTTATAAATTACCCAGTCTCAGGTATTTCTTTACAGCAATGTGAGAACAGACTAATACACATCCCCCCACCTCGATCACCCCAATCTAATCATGAAAACACAAACTCAAACAGAGAAACCTTCTACAAAATACCTGGCCAGTACTCCCTGAATTTGTCAAGATCATGACAAATAAAGAAAGACTGAGAAAGTATTCGGAACAGAACAGACTAAAAGAAATGGCAACAAATGCAATATTATCTCCTGCATTGGATCCTGGAAGAGAAAAAGGACATTCATGGAAAAACTAGTGACATCCAAATAACCTAAGCGTAGTAAAGTACCAATGCTGGGTTTTAGTTTTGACAAATCTGTCATGAGAATGTAAATGGTTAACATTAGAGAAACTGATTGAGGGGTATACAGAAACTCACTACTTATTTTGCTAATTCTCTATTAATCTTAGCTTATTCTAAAATAAAATGTTTATGTACAAAATAAGAAATAAAACCTTCATCTTATTTTCTCCCCTCTGGCAGCTGCAATACTAAAATATAAAATAACATTTTATATTACGCAATGTATTCGTCTCTGATCTATATGATTTTATTTAATACTCAGAACAGCTACATGTGTTGCCAGGCTTGATATTATCGCCCTTATTTTACACGTGAGGAAATGGAAGTTTTGAGAGGTGGTGACTTGCCCATATTTCACTGTGTTGGTTAGGGCACAAGCTAAGCTATTTTTACAAGAAGATTTCGAAAATGCAATAGCTCAAAAAAAATTATTCCTTATTTTTCTCTCCTGAAACAGTCAAAAGATGTCATGAAATTGAGGGCCCAGGCTGCTATCTTGCTGTTCTTGGGTTTGCCCATGTCATTAGGCAAAAACAGGATCCACCACATCTGCACGCCAGCCCAGAGAGAAGAGGAAAGATTAGGAAGCAGGGTCTTATAGTTAAGGACATTGTACACAATTGCCTACATCATTTTAATTTGCAACCCATTAACCAAACTTAGCCACATGGCTACTCCTAACCTAGAGAAGGCTGGGGAATGTAGTCCAGCTGGGGGGCTACAACTCAAGAAGAAAAAGAGAGATAATTATGGGGACAATTAACCAAATCTACCATATTTCCAGGCAT
This sequence comes from Homo sapiens, assembly GCF_000001405.40. Classification (NCBI taxonomy): domain Eukaryota; kingdom Metazoa; phylum Chordata; class Mammalia; order Primates; family Hominidae; genus Homo; species Homo sapiens. Next base: position 132,702 of record NT_187627.1, on the reverse strand, counting down.
CTTAGAAGTGGAAGGGAGGCTTTAATCAAGACCTTCTGATTTCAGGTTTGATGCTATGCCTCTTGCCTGTTGAATATACATTTGTACTCTACTCATCTACATATAAAAGTAAAACAAACAGTAAATGCTGCTAATTTTTTATTTTACTTAATATCTTCCTATAACTAAATTTGCCGTTTAATAAAAATATTGAATTATTAATCATTTCTTTCTGGGTCACATCCTTCTGATGTTCATGTATTTTGTGACATCAATTTAAATACGTGAATACCTTCTGGAATGCATATCCAGTGTGGCACTGTGTTTAACATTTCTCTTAAAGCTAGAGAAAGACTAAGGTACTGGGCAGAAGGCCAAAGATAGCACAGCTGCTCTGTGCTCTGTTGGCTTCTTTTGTCAATTGCTATGTGACCTTAGAAAAACTATCTATCTGATCTTTTCAAGATTCAATCCAGGTTTTGTAGGAACTAAAGATTATACATGATTTAGAGACCCTCTTTAAGAAAAATACCCAATTATTAATCTAAAATTAAGTATAAAGGGAAATACTTATATGATAAATAAAATCAGAGCAATTAAAAAATTAAATACAAAAAATTAGCCAGGTGTGGCCGGGCGCGGTGGCTCACGCCTGTAATCCTAGCACTTTGGGAGGTGGAGGTGGGCGGATCACGAGGTCAGGAGATGGAGACCATTCTGGCTAACACGGAGAAACCCTGTCTCTACTAAAAACACAAAAAAATTAGCTGGGCGTGGTGGTGGGCACCCATAGTCTCAGTACTCGGGAGGCTGAGGCAGGAGAATGGCGTGAACCCAAGAGGCGGAGCTTGCAGTGAGCCGAGATTGCACCACTGCACTCCAGCCTGGGTGACAGAGCAAGACTCCATCTCAAAAAAAAAAAAAAAAAAAAATTAGCCAGATGTGGTGGTGATGGGCCTATAGCCCCAGCTACTCAGGAGGCTGAGGTGGGAAATCACTCGAGCCCCCGAGATCAAGGCTGCAGTGAGCCAAGATCATGCCACTGCACCCCTGCCTGGGTGTCAGAGTGAGACCCGGTCTCAAGATAAATAAATAAATAAATAAATAAATAAATAAATAAATAAATAAATAAAATATTTAAAAATAAAAAAAGTTAGAAGTTGATAAAAGCCACAGATACCAAGAAATTCTGAAAAATAAGATGTTTTTATTCTGCCTGACATAATACTTTTCACGTTACATTTTTTGCTACATATTCATTGATATATTTATATGGTAACAGTTTCATATTTTCTAAAAGGAGTTAAAAAATTAGTTTTAATATGACTGACTGAAATTGCTTTTCTAATATTATAGTTGGGATTTATTTTTAAAAAGTAACTTCACATTTAGATGTACTTGTATTTCTATGACTCGTTTTACTTTATAAACACAAGAATTATAGTAAATTCTGTTTTGTCGGATCCCCATCAAAAAAGGAAAAATGGGGTACTTATCATTACAATGTGCTGCAAAAGGGAAGCTCCACTTTAATGAGGCTTCAAAAACAAGCGAATTCTTTGCTTGCAATTTTGCACATTTGATGACCGGAAAAATTTTCCCCAAACTAGTTTCTAATGCCCTCCATTCCAAGCTTTCTTTCTCTTCTGCTAACAGAACCAGATTCCATGAGACACATCTGGGAATTACTCCCACCTCGGAACAACTAGCCACAACTTAACCATACATGGAAGTGACCAGAAGCCCCCAAATGTATTCTGCTCTGTCTAAATGCATCCGCAACTCAACTTCCCTCAGCCAATTGCCAAAAATGACCAATGTCACCCAGCATGAGGTGAACCATGATGAAGGGGAAGTCAGAAAGGAAAGAGATTGCACCAGTCTGAAGATTGTAGTTTCTCTTGTAAAGTTTACAACAATATGTGATGATGTAATCACATTCTTAGGGCTCCTCCCAGAGTCTTAGCTGGATCCTGTGCTACTGAAAACAGCATGGTACTGACATAAAAATAGACACATTGACCAATGGAACAGGACAGAGAGCACAGAAATAAACCCATGCATTTATAGTCAACTGATTTTCAACAAAGGTGCCAAGAACACCCAATGGAAAAAGGATAGTCTCTTCAATAAATGACGTTGAGAAAACTGGACACTCATATGCAGAAAAATGAAATTGGACCCTTGTCTTACACCACATACAAAAATCAACTCAGAATGGATTAAAGACTTAAACATAAGACCTGAAACTATAAAGCTACTGGAAGGAAACATAAGGGAAAAGCTCCATCACATTGATCTGGGCAATGATTTATTGGATACACAGAGGCAACAAAAGCAGAAACAGACAAATGGGATTGCATCAAATTTACAAGCTTAAGCTTTTTCTCTCTCTCTCTCTCTTTTTTTTTTTTTTTTGTTTGAGACGGAGTCTCACTCTGTTGCCCAGGCTGGAGTACAGTGGCGCGATCTCGGCTCACTGCAAGCTCCAGCCTCCCGGGTTCACGCCATTCTCCTGCCTCAGCCTCCTGAGTAGCTGGGACTACAGGCGCCCGCCACCACGCTAGGCTCATTTTTTGTATTTTTTAGTAGAGACGGGGTTTCACCGTGTTAGCCAGGATGGTCTCCATCTCCTGACCTCGTGATCCGCCCGTATCGGCCTCCCAAAGTGCTGGGATTACAGGCGTGAGCCATCGCGCCCGGCCTCTTTTATTTTAACATATGAAAAAGGGATAATATTGGCCTATCTTATGGAAAGGCTCCAATGGGGTGCATATAAGTAAACAGCTTGAAAATGAAACACTCTTGAGAAAATAGGTACAGGTCGACTTGCCACCTCCCAAACCTATCATCTCAGTAAATATAAACGTAAGTAACTTTCTGTAACTTTCTGGTTTATCACACCATCTGTGCTGTTTTCCTTTTATCCCCACTTTTTTTTTTTTTTTTTTTTTTTTTTTTGAGACAGAGTCTTGCTCTGTTGCCCAGGCTGGAGTGCAGTGGCGTGATCTCGGCTCACTGCAACCTCTGCTTCCCGGGTTCAAGCGATTCTCCTGCCTCAGCCTCCTGAGTAGCTGGGATTACAGGCACGTGCCACTGCCACCAGGCTAATTTTTGTATTTTTAGTAGAGACAGGGTTTCACCACGTTGGCCAGAATAATCTCGATCTCCTGACCTCGTGATCCCCCCCTTGGCCCCAGAGTGCTGAGATTACAGGCACAAGCCACCGTGCCTGGCCTTTATCCCTACTTTTATGTAGAATTCTGTGATCTCCTTCCTCCCACCTGACTTATATTTTTTCTTTTTATTTTCTGCTTTTCCTCTTCCCTCTTTTTTCCACCCTCCAGCCCCTCTCCTCCCACCCAATCTCCAATTCCTATTGTTTGTGTCCACGTATGTGCTAGCAGAGCTGCTCCCTTGGCCTTTTCTAAGCTGCTTTTCATACCTTTAAAACCTCCAGATGCTGGGAAATGCCATCAATCCAGAAGAGAAATGCAGCCGCGTGATGCCTCACTCACCAGAAGGGATTGCAGGGTGACCCTGTCTGATTACCAGCCTCGACTTAGGAAATACAGCCAATGATGAAATTCATGGCAGGCAAATTCCCTGTTCAAGGTGGAGCAACAGCATGATGGATGGGCCAGCAGTGATGGATAGCCCCTCTGAATTTTGGTTCATGGGTTTCCTCCAGCAAGGACTGAGTTGTCCCAGAGATAACACTCTACCAGCGGCTGGGCTCTGGGCTGAATGCTTGCTTAGGGATAACACCCTCATTACCCAGTAAAGCAAATTATTATTGACAATGTAAGGTTTTAGTTCCTTTCGGTAATTTTTAAATTAAGCAGACAGCCTGGCATATGGATCAAGATTCCTTGAACTCTAAAAGATTCTCTCTTCCAAAGTATTAGTGAAACATAGAATTAAAGTAAAATGAAAGATTTATATATAGGATTTATATATAGAAGCTTCATAATCCTATTTGTCATCTGTTCATTCTTTTTGGGAAATAACTATGACAGCTCACTATAATCTTAATCCTCCATAGTCGTTTGCTTTCTATTTTAATACCTGACCCTATTTTAGTATTAGGAAATGATTTAGAAATCTAAGTATGAAAAAAGTTGAGTGACTTTAATATGCCTAATAACATTATCTCATTAATCCTCATGTTGTTTCTGAAAGATGTATGCAATATGTTTTATCTCCACTTTACAGAATGTGAAACCAAGATATCCCAAAGCGTTTTAACATACTTAAGGTCACACGGTGGCTCAGTGATACAGTCAGAAATAGAAGCTAGTTTTTCTAACAAGAAAGCCACTGAAAATTAATCAGAAACACAGCAAGTCCACTCTTTCTTTGATGACTAGAAAATTCGTCTGAAGTTGAATACTGATTTGGGAAGGAATAAAGTCTTCATGGCTGGTGACTTATTATCTTTAGAAGATTTTCAGTCCAAAAACCTGTAACATAACTTGTAATCCTCCCTTAGATTTGGTACATTACAGCAAAGATAGCTTAAAAAAAAAAAACCCTATAAAGAAAATCTCATTCTTCCCCACCGATCTCATTTATAAAATTCAGAGAGTTGTTCCTATGGAAAACAGAATCCATAGATCCCAATTAAACAATACGTAGCTAGCTGGTATGGTGGCATGCACCTATAGCTCTAGCTACTTGGGAGGGTGGGCTGGGAGGATCTCTTGAGCCCAGAAGGTCAAGGCTACAATGAGCTATGATCACACCACTGCACTCCAGCCTAGGCAACAGAGCAAGACCCCATCAGAAAAAAAGAAAGAAAGAAAGGGAGGAAGGAAGGAAGGAAGGAAGGAAGGAAGGAAGGGAGGGAGGGAGGGAGGGAGGGAGGGAGGGAGGGAGGGAGGGAGGGAGGAAAGAAAGCAGGCAGGCAGGCAGGCAGGCAGGCAAGAAGTTCCAATTCATAGTTCCAGACTCTGTAAGAAGACAGTGGGACAGTGGAGTATTTTGGAAATAGGACTCAATTACATCCGAGGGCTTCTGTTCCTGGTTCTGGGGCTGACATCATCAAGGATGAATAATAATAAAGGCCACATCTACATAAAAAGGTTATGGCAAAAATCATTCCTTTATCCTCAGTGCTTGGCTTAGCCAGATGACCAGGTAATTAATGCATAATCATTGACTGTAAAGGGGAAGGATATGTGAATAATTAATGATATTCATATGTGTCATTCTCACTCTGCCCCAACTTAACTCTACCTGGAGACAATCCTAATATTCCTGGAGTATTTCAGGTTTTTCCCACTACTTACATGTTTTTTCAACCAGGAGATTTCTTCCACGTTCCTTTAACAAAAAGAATTTCTCTGGTTGGGTGTGGTGGCTCACGCCTGGAATCCCAGCTCTTTGGGAGGCCAAGGTGAGCGGATCACTTGCGGTCAGGAGTTCGAGACCAGCCTGGCCAACATGATGAAACCTCGTCTCTACTAAAAATACAAAAATTAGCTGGGCATGGTGGCACACACCTATAATCCCAGCTACTCGGGAGGGTAAGGCAGGAGAATCACTTGAACCTGGGAGGCAGAGGTTGCAGTGAGCTGAGATTGCACCACTGCATTCCAGCCTGGGCAAAACAGTGAGACAACATCTCAAAAAAAAAAAAAAAAAAAGGAATTTCTCATCTTTATAAACAAGGTCATACATTTGCAACTGCCATCACATTGCTTTGATTGAACAGATAACCACCAGTTCAATGCTTTTCCAATTTTATTGAGTATAATGATCACCAACGGTATATGTTAAACACAGATTCTCAGGCCCCCAGTGATTCTGGTTCCGATAGAAGGATGAGACTCACCATTAAACAAGAACCAGGTATTTCAAGGACCACTTTTAGGGAAAGGAAGTTCTTTATAATGACCTTATTCCACAGATAAAGATATTAAGGCTCCAAAAGTTTCTCGTCCAAGGCAACCGATTCATCCATTTAGTCAGTCATGCAGCCATTCAACAAAAACTGATTATGAGTATACATGCTCCGATGCTATTGGTTTGCACAGAACTGGAGCTTGGTGTGGTCCCCAGCCCATTGCTATTTCTACTTTGCCTGCTGCAATATGTTATCCAACTTCAAAACAACATGCAAGGCTGGCAGGGGGTGGACTTAAGAAAGGTTTTATGGAGCAGGTAGTATTTGGAATCAACTTTAAAGGGTAGATAAAATTTCAGCCAGCACGATACATAACGGGGAACTGGGCCAGCAAAGATATTGACAACGGTACAAGGGCTAGTGTTCAGAACAGCAGATTGCACCCACAGGACCAAATAAGTGAATCAACTATAGCACAGCGGTGATACAGCTCAGTGTTCCCCACTCAGCATATTTCAGAAGGCCACATGTATCTCCTAAGCGGTTCTCACTGCCACATTTAAGTTTGTTGGAATTCCAGGCTGGAGTGCAGTGGCGCCGTCTCGGCTCACTGCCAGCTCCGCTTCCCGGGTTCACGCCATTCTCCTGCCTCAGCCTCCCAAGTAGCTGGGACTACAGGTGCCCGCCACTACCCCCGGCTAATTTTTTTGTATTTTTAGTAGAGACGGGGTTTCTCCGTGTTAGCCAGGATGGTCTCGATCTCCTGACCTCGGGATCCACCTGCCTCGGCCTCCCAAAGTGGTGGGATTACAGGCGTGAGCCACCGCGCCTGGCCGAATTGGTTTTAACAGTAAATAAATAAATAAACAACATCTATTATACCAACTTTTCAAATAAGGAAACTGAGTCATGCAGAGATAAAATTACCCAAGGCCCTTGCTCAGAAATAAACGTGAACATTTACTAAATCGAACTGATTTTGATACATGCAATAGAACATATTTGAATTAAAGAACACTGCCATTTTTGTAGGTCAAAATTGTTGCATATAGGGAATTCCATGTGGCTTATCCTAATACATTCCCATCCCATCTTGTCTTTACATGTGTTTCTTACTCAATTGTTGCTGCTTAGATGTTTATGCAGGAAGTATAACTGAGTCGCATCTTTCTGTTGCTCTGGAATCTTTTTCCAGATACTAATTCTAACAAACCAAAATGTTCTATATTAAAATAGCAACTTGTCTTCCTTTCTATTTGTTTCAATCAGTTCTGCTTGACAAAGAGTTTAAACCAAAAGAGGCTGGGTAAAAAGTGGCCCTCCTTGACAACTAAATTAGACTAACAAGCGTTTATAGGACTCAACCTTAGCAGGAAGAACTGAGAGTGACTAACCAGCCTCCAGGCTTCTGTGAGAACAAGGACAGATCTTGCCGCAAAGTAACAGAAAAAAGTCTGTAAACTTAATCTCTAACTTCTTTAATAAAAGCAGGATCCAAGAGTAAATTTTCTCCCCTTAGAATGTTAGGGAATCAGAGTATCCTAAAGGAAACTATGCTGGCTGTCCCATCAGTTCAATAAGTAAGACTATGCTAAGAAAAGTTTAATTTGATTGTCATCTTATGAGCACCATACCGCATTGAATAGTACCATTTTTTACTGTCCCACCAGATTGCTTTGAGTAAGTTCCATGATGCCAGGGCTGTCTCTGTCTTATTCAGCTCCTCATAACCAATGACTGGCACAGTACCCTATATTAGATAGAGGTCAACAAATACTCTGGAAAGGATAAATATTGTTATTAAAGTAGGAGTTGATGTAGTCATAGTACAAACAATTGCTGGTTTTCTAATCCCAATGTAACAAAAACTGGCTATGTGATTCTGAACAAGTCATTTAAATTCTCTGTGCCTCCTTTTACCTAATGAGTAAAAGAGGGATTGGAATGAAATCCCTCTTCATCTCTATAATTCTAATGCACATAAGAAAGTGTGATTGAGTTACTCTTGTGAACAGTGTAGTTAACATTTCTGTTCTATTTCCCTGCGTGTTCATTCATCTTCTCCATGCTTACCTAAAAGCACACCAGGGAAGGGCAGGGAATGCAGAATTAGAAAGCAAATTACAAGAATTCTCAGGATTCTGCTTGAAGTATCTTTGCTTCTTTGACTACGTGAGATTTTACAATAGCAAGGCTCACAGGAACAAAGCCTCTGTATGCACAAGTTATGTTCTCTTTGTGCATTGTCTGATTTCATTTAGGGATAATTTCTCAATCCTATTTCCTTCTATAAAGTCTACATCATGTTCATTGTAATTTAGTAAAAATTATATTCTCTCTTTGTAAAAACAATAGAAATTTTTTATTGAAAAGTGATTTCTCCCCAGTGGAAGGAGATCGGATAATAGCATCTTCTTAGCAAGGTCAGATTTTTGGAGCTTTGCTTCAAATGAATAAACTTATTGTCCCCAAGAATTGAAAATCTAACCCTCTGTCCTTGTGGAGAGATACATCTCCCAAAGGGTAAATGGCGTAAGTCCTAGGATTACACTGTGTTCTGAAAGGAGGGAAGGAGGCCCCAAACACCACAGCTTTTAACCCTCTATTCGTTTCTATAAGGTTATATATAAGTTGGATCAAAAGGACTATAATCCAAGGGAAAGGGAAAAGAGGGGAGAAAACACAAAGAAGAGTGCCTGGCACTCTCCATATCTACTCATCTAACAGAAAAAAAGGCTGCCATCTCCAAACATACGTCTTTATGTCCAGGCAGATAACAGAAAGAGAACTTAGCCTCTTAGTTTCTCAGTGAAGTTTGAACTACATATTTAAATTGGCAATACATTTTGGGACACTTAGTTGCAGCATTCATTAAACAATTATGAAGAAAATACCACCACGTTGGGAGGCCAAGGCAGGTGGATCACTTGAGTTCAGGAGATCAAGACCAGCCTGGGAAACATGGTGAAACGCTGTCTCTACAAAAACATACAAAAATTAGCCGGGTGTAGTGGTGCGTGCCTGTAGTCTCAGCTACTTAGGAGGCTGAGGTGGGAGGATCACTTGAACCTGGGAAGTTGAGGCAGTGAGTCGTGATTATGCCACTCCAACCTGGGTGACAAAACACGACTTTGTCTCCAAAAAAAAAAAAAAAAAAAAAAACAGAAAAAGAAAAAGAAAAAAAATACCAGCATCATCTTGGTCAGTGATTTAGAATGCTATGTACCTGATGTTTCCATGATTTATTGCTGTGTAATAGATCAATTCAAATGTTAGCAGCTTAAAGCGGGACTTGTTTTATTATATCTTAAGATCTTGTGTATCAGGAATTCAGGCAGGACTCACCTGGGTGATTTTTCCACTCCATGCGGCATTGATTGAGGTTGCTCAGGTATTTGGCTGGCAGATATGTTGTGCGGAGGATCCAATGCGGCTTCATGCCCGTGTCTGGCACACTGGCAGGGATGACTGGCAGGCTGGGCTCAGCTGGGGCCATGGACCAGAGCACCCATGCTGGCCTCTCTGGCATGAGGCCTCAGGTAGTTGCATTTCTCACATGGCTTAGGGCTCTTAAAGAAAGTTTTCTAAGAACCAGAATAGAACCTGCTAATTTCTTAAAGGCTGAGCTCAACAGGTAGTACAATATTATTTCCGCCATTTTCTACTGTTAAAGCAGTCACTGAGCCACACATTTTCAAGGCAAAAGGCCATAGACGTCCCACCCCCATCCAATCTCCTGATGGAAAGAAAGTCAAAGAACTTGTAACCATCCTTAAAGTGCCATATCTGCCAAGGTTTCTCCAAGGTCACACTTCTTGGAAGGACCAAATCTGTAATTTGGCAAGTCAACCTACAAAAAAGTACAAGAGGCCTGCCAGAAAGGGAGGGGTGAGAAACATTAAAACCAATGCCAGGATGGAGGGATGTGAAGGTAAAGGGAAAAAGTCTGCAGCATAAGCACTATGTAATCCTGAGTCTGTTACACCTAATGCTGGAGACAGGAATGCCCTGAGTGGAGAGAAGGGCAGAGTTAAGCACGGAAGATTAAGATAGGTAAGTGTGATACTATGAAATGTCAGTGATTTTGTCCTCTGATCCTCCTGGTGAGGAAACTGGGGTCACCATGTTTTCAGGAGATGAGGGCTCAGAAAAACAGAAAGATATAGAAGTAGAATTACAACCCTTAGAGATTTGTTGTCAAATTATCAAAGTTTTCCTGCTCAAGAACTTAATGAAAACAACTTTAATATGTTCTAAAGAAACTTTAATAACTCTTACGCTTTTTTCCCTTCATATAAGTGAATATGCATGAGCCGTACAGATTCCCCTTCAAAACTGAGACGCTCATTCCCCCAGGCACTGGGAGTGTTGGTGGCTGATGGTTCTCCGCCCAGAGTTTCTCCCTGGGACTCACTCTATTCTGAAGAGAGCTGCTCCGACAGGCAGCCCTCAGCCCTCATCTAACGGCTGGTCCTCCTGATGGAATTGCCTGATGTCTTTTTTGGTGACTGCATCACAGCTGAACTCCTCCCTTTGTATAATCGTACCTCCACTCCCCTCTAAGAGTTGAACCCAAGAGTACTCCCTAATAAGATTCTGCACACAAATTCTCATCTCAGACTTTGTTTCCCAAGAAACTCATTCTAAAACATAAGTATAGCAGCAATTGGGTAGCAACAGCAATGAAAGGTGTCTGTGTCTACTTTGGAAGTCCTGGGAGTGACCATGTTAGACTGAACTAGCCATGTAAGGGACTTGCTGATCATACTGCCCCATTAGGGAAGCCTTGGAATAGCAACCACATAACCAAGGGAAATGGCTCTGAATGCTTCCTTGGAGTGGAGCCTTGTTTTTTATTCTATTCATGTGTTGGGAAACTGGCTCTGTAGGGAAAAATGGGGCCCCGACATATATATCCTTTGCCAATTTCTGTGGTGTAAATTTTCCTACTTTGGCTGATTTCAAGCTACCAGCTGTTTAACTGGGCTCATCAATTTCCTAAATATTTAACAATCATCTCTTGGGGATCTCCAGCACGCTGCTGCATGTAAGCATACTGTCCTTCTCAGACCTGCTTGGACCAGGAGAGCATCAAGCTCATAGGCAGCAAATATGATGATATGGGCCTGTTAGTGGCCTAGGCTTGTGGCGTAAGAATCAGAAAAAGACTACACTGTGATTAAACAAAGCAATAAAATTTGAATGCAAGGTATATGGAGAATACGAGCAGCAGACACCAGGGAGTAAAAGCTAAGAAGGCAGCCAGCAGATGCAGTGATGCCACAGAAACCAGAAAGTGATGGAAACTGTGAACGAGCACTTCATATTGGGAGAGAACAAGCAGTGGCAAAAACAGAAATTGAAGGATACTCCAAGTAATCCAGGGACAGGAAGAACAGCTGAGCTGTCTTAGTGGTGGAGCCAGACACCAGAGAGCAATCAACTTGCGATATTGACACAGTGACAAGAGCTGCCTCAAGAGCTGCATTTAACTCCAGGCAACCTTGTAGTGCTCTGTTGTCTGAGTGGACTGCCTACCCAGCTAAGATCCCATCTACCTAATTTCCACATACAACCTTACAATCAAGCCCCCGCTATTTGAAATAACCAGAGAGGCTCTCTCTTGCTTGCAGAGACATGATTTTATTAACCCCAGGTCACCATCTGAGCTCAGCAGCCACAAGGCAGAAACAAACCCAGAGTGTGTGCAAAGGTTGTTAACAACATCAGAAGCAACCCAGAATAGAAGCAGCAGAATCTCTGCTGAACAGTCTGGGGAAACCAAAGCCATTTTCTTATAGAGAGTCTAAACATCCACAGGGCAACTTAATTAAATCATCCTTTTACCCTGTTAGTAAAAGAAAAGGCTGTTAAGAACTCGGTACCACTGATTCATTCATTCAACAAATATTTATTTATTTATTTATTTATTCATCCATCCATTCATTTTTAAGGAAACCACACACAGGGGTGAAATGCCTCCAGCCAAAGAAGGCAAGGGATAGAGGTGTCTTACCACTACGGAACGTATCCAAGTCATGTGGCAGCAGCGAATCCAAAGAGTCTGCAACAAACTTGATTCTTGCCTCCTAAGAGGAAAGAATTCGGCAGAGGGGCATAAAACAGAGGAAGTGACCAAGGCAAATTTTAGAGCAGGAGTGAATGGTGACGGGAGCCTGTAGTCCCAGCTACTCGGGAGGCTGAGGCAGGAGAATGGCGTGAACCGAAGAGGCGGAGCTTGCAGTGAGCCGAGATGGCGCCACTGCACTCCAGCCCGGGCGACAGAGCGAGACCCCGTCTCAAAAAAAAAAAAAAAAGCTTTTACCACAAGTGGCAGGAATTAACGTACAATTGGAAGAGGGCCAAGTGGGCGACCTGAGAGATCCAAGTGCCTCAACAAATATTTATTAAGTGTCTCATCTGAAAACCCCATGCTATGTGGATTCTGGGGATGCGATGGCAATCAGAAACAGACACTCCATCATGGAGCCAATGGTCTTGGGGGAGACAAATATATGATTTTAAAAATGTGCACAGAAAACATAGAACTCAACTATGCTAAGTGCTAAGGAGAGACAGAGTCCCTGAGACTTCGCACTGGGATTGGGGGGATTTGGCCTAGTCAGGAAGGTCAGAGAAGACTTCCACGAGAAGAGATAATAATTGAGATCTGAACAATGGGTTCAAGTGAAGAGAGGAGGAAAGAGTGTTGAGGAAAGCCAGGAACATGTGCAAAAGCATATGCCAAGGGAGCACGGAAACTGGCAAACCTTCGGATTCAAACAGAGTTTTGGACCATCAACCTTTGTACCACGTGGGAGCTAATCAGAAACGCAGACTCTCAGGCACAATTCCAGATTGACTTAACCAGAATCTGCATTTTAACAAGATTCCCTAGCAATCTGTACACATTTTAAAATTTGAGAGACTGAAAGAAGACCAATGTGGTTGGAGCTGAGGAAGTGAGGGGTGGGGTATGGTGTGAGCCGAGGCTAGACAAGTGGGTAAAGTCCACCACCCAGAGTTTCATCAGCCATGTTGAGGAGTTTGGCTTTATTCTTTTTTTTAAAGAGATGAGTTATGTTGCCCAGGATGGCCTGACACTCCTGGGCTTAAGTGAATGGGCTCAAAATATGCTCCTGACTCAGCCTCACAAGTAGTTGGGACTACAGGCACGTGCCACTGTGCCCAACTCAAGTTTGGCTTTACTCTAAAAATATTGGAAAATCATTGAAGTGTTTTAAGTCTGGGCAGGGAGGGAGGTTGTAGGAGGAAATCTAACCTTAGAGTAGTAACTCATTAGACAGAATGAGAATTAAATGTGATTCGCATTTAGAAGGCTATTACAGATGTCCAGGCAGGAGAATATGAGAATTTGGACTCCAGAGATGAAGGTAGAGGTGGAATTGGAAAAAAAAAAAAAAAAGGAATGGATGTGAGACGTATTCAAAAAATGAAGTCAGCAAGACTTGATAATTGTTTGGATTTGGGAATGGGCGGATGTGATAACATATAAAATGCTTTCAGACTTGCACAAATGATTTTCATGGTTTTTCTTGATTTTCACTGTCTTATTTTGGCACCAACAATTAAGCCTAGCAATGCTGAATAAATGAATGAATGAACTGAATGGAAAGTTTGACGCAGAGTTTTAAGGGTGAGATCATGATTTGGGCTTTGGAATTGTTGATGGGGACTACTATGAGTTGAAGTGGGCCTCCCAAAAACATATGTTGAAGTCCTAATCCCTGGTACGTGTGAATGTGACCTTATTTCGAAACATAACAGACAATAGATGTAATCAAGTTATGATGAGGTCATATTCGACTAGGGTAGGCCCTAATTTTTTTCTTTTTATAAATTTAAGGGGTATAAGTGCAGTTTTGTTACGTGAATATATTACATAGTATTGAAGTCTGGGCTTTTAATATAGCCATCACTTGAATAATGTACATAAGTAATTTCTCATCTGTCACCACCACGCCCCACCATTCCAAGTCTCCAATGTCTATTGTTCCACACTCCATGTCCATGTATACATACTATTTAGCTCCCACTTATAACTGAGAACATTTGGTATTTGACCTTTTTTTTTTTGAGATGGAGTCTCACTCTGTTGCCCAGGCTGGAGTGCAATGGCACAGTCTTGGCTCACTGTAACCTCTGCCTCCCGGGTTCAAGCAATTCTCCTCCCTCAGCCTCCTGAGTAGCTAGGATTACAGGTGCCTGCCACCACGTGCAGCTAATTTTTTTTTTTTTTTGTATTTTTAGTAGAGATGGGGTTTCGCCATATTGGCCAGGCTGGTCTCGAACTCCTGACCTCATGATCCTCCTGCCTCAGCCTCCCAAAGTTCTGGGATTACATGGGTGAACCACCGTGCCCGGCCTTGACTTTCTATTTGTGAATTGCTTCACTTAGGATAATGGCCTCCAGTTCCATCCTTGCTGCTGCAAGAGACATGATTTCATTCTTTTTATGACTGAATAGTATTACGCTGGGTGTATATACCACATTTTCTTTATCTAATTATCGACTGATGGACACTTAGGTTGATTTCATATGTTATTGTGAACAGTGCTAAGATAAGTATGAGTGTAGGTATCTTTTGATATAATTATTTCTTTACCTTTGGTTATACATCCAGTAGTGTGATTGCTGGATCAAATGGTAGTTCTATTTTTAGTTCTTTGCGAATTCTTCATACTATTTTCCATAATTGTTATACTAATTTATATTGCCACCAGAAGTGTATAAGCATTCCCTTTTCTTCACGTTTTCACCAACATCTTTTTTTTTTTTTTTTTTTACTTTTTAATAATAGTTATTCCTATTGGTGTGAGATGATATCTCATTGTGGTTTTAATTCGCATTTTTCTGAGATTAGTGATATAATGAGCATTCTTTCATATGTTTGTTAGCCATTTGTATGCCTTCTTTCGAGAAGACATGTCTTTTTATGGTTTTTGCCCACTTTTTAATGGGATTACTTGGATTTTTTGTTGTTCTTGAGTCATGTGAATTCCTTGTAAATTTTGGATATTAGTCCCCTGTTGGATACATAGTTTGTGAATATTTTCTCCCATTCTGAAGATTGTTCATTCTGTTGATTATTTATTTTGCTGTGCAGCAGCTTTTTAGGTTAATTAAGTCCCATTTTTCTATTTTTGTTGTTGTTGCTTGTGCTTTTGAGGTCTTAGTAATGAATTCTTTACCTAGACTAATGTCCAGAAGAGTTTTTCCTAGGTTTTCTTCTAATATTTTTATAGTTTCAAGTCTTACATTTATGTCTTTGATTCATCTCGAGTTGCTTTTTGTTTATGATGAGAGAT
Organism: Homo sapiens; assembly: GCF_000001405.40. Lineage (NCBI taxonomy): Eukaryota > Metazoa > Chordata > Mammalia > Primates > Hominidae > Homo > Homo sapiens. The sequence continues at coordinate 117,545 of NT_187627.1, read as the reverse complement.
AGGGGTCCTGTTTCACTCTTCTGCATATGGCTAGCCAGTTTTCCCAGCATCATTTATTGAATAGGGATCCTTTTTCCATTAGCTTGTTTTTGTTGACTTTGTTGAAGATCAATTGGTTATAGGTATGCTGCTTTATTTCTGCCTTCTCTATTCTGTTCCACTTGTCTATGTGTCTATTTTTGTATCAGTACCATGGTGTTTTTGTAGCTTTGTTGTGTAGCTTGAAGTCAGTTAATGTGATGCCTCCAGCTTCGTTCTTTTTGCTTAGGATTGCTTTCACTATTTGGGATTTTTTTTGGTTCCATATAAATTTTAAGATTTTTTTCCCCAATTCTGTGAAACTCGATGTTGGCATTTTGATGGAAATTGCATTAAATCTGTAGATTGTTTTGGGCATTATGGTCATTTTAATGATACTAATTCTTCTGATCCATTAAATAAGATAGTTTTCCATTTGCTTGTGTCGTCTACAATTTCTTTCATCAATATTTTGTAGTTTTCCTTGTAGAAATATTTCACCTCGGCCGCCCGGGAGGCAGCGGCTGGAGGAGCGGACGGGCCCCGCGGGGCCCGAGGGCAAGGAGCAGCCGCCTGCCTTGGCCTCCCAAAGTGCCGAGATTGCAGCCTCTGCCCGGCCGCCACCCCGTCTGGGAAGTGAGGAGTGTCTCTGCCTGGCCGCCCATCGTCTGGGATGTGAGGAGCCCCTCTGCCTGGCTGCCCAGTCTGGAAAGTGAGGAGCGTCTCCGCCCGGCCGCCATCCCATCTAGGAAGTGAGGAGCGCCTCTTCCCAGCCGCCATCACATCTAGGAAGTGAGGAGCGTCTCTGCCCGGCCGCCCATCATCTGAGATGTGGGGAGTGCCTCTGCCCCGCCGCCCCATCTGGGATGTGAGGAGCGCCTCTGCCCGGCCGAGACCCCGTCTGAGAAGTGAGGAGACCCTCTGCCTGGCAACCACCCCGTCTGAGAAGTGAGGAGCCCCTCCGCCCGGCAGCTGCCCCGTCTGAGAAGTGAGGAGCCTCTCCGCCCGGCAGCCACCCCATCTGGGAAGTGAGGAGCGTCTCCGCCCGGCAGCCGCCCCATCCGGGAGGGAGGTGGGGGGGTCAGCCCCCCGCCTGGCCAGCCGTGCCGTCCGGGAGGGAGGTGGGGGGGTCAGCCCCCGCCTGGCCAGCCGCCCCATCCGGGAGGTGAGGGGTGCCTCTGCCCGGCTGCCCCTACTGGGAAGTGAGGAGCCCCTCAGCCCGGCCAGCCACCCCGTCCGGGAGGGAGATGGGGGGGGTCAGCCCCCCCACCCGGCCAGTCGCCCCGTCCGGGAGGGAGGTGGGGGGGGTCAGCCCCCCGCCTGGCCAGCCGCCCCGTCCGGGAGGGAGGTGGGGGGGTCAGCCCTCCGCCCGGCCAGCCGCCCCGTCTGGGAGGTGAGGGGCGCCTCTGCCCGGCCGCCCCTACTGGGAAGTGACGAGCCCCTCTGCCCGGCCAGCCGCCCCGTCCGGGAGGGAGGTTGGGGGGTCGGCCCCCCGCCCGGCCAGCCGCCCCGTCCGGGAGGGAGGTGGGGGGGGTCGGCCCCCCGCCCGGCCAGCCGCCCCGTCCGGGAGGGAGGTGGGTGGGGGGTCAGCCCCCCTGCCCGGCCAGCCGCCCCGTCCGGGAGGTGAGGGGCACCTCTGCCCGGCCGCCCCTACTGGGAAGTGAGGAGCCCCTCTGCCCGGCCAGCCGCCCCGTCCGGGAGGGAGGCGGTGGGGGTCAGCCCCCCGCCCGGCCAGCCGCCCGTCCGGGAGGGAGGTGGGGGGGGTTCAGCCCCCCTGCCCGGCCAGCCACCCCGTCCGGGAGGTGAGGGGCACCTCTGCCCGGCTGCCCCTACTGGGAAGTGAGGAGCCCCTCTGCCCGGCCAGCCGCCCCGTCCGGGAGGGAGGTGGGGGGGTCAGCCCCCCGCCCGGCCAGCCGCCCCGTCCGGGAGGGAGGTGGGGGGTGTCAGCCCCCCTGCCCGGCCAGCAGCCCCATCCGGGAGGTGAGGGGCGCCTCTGCCCGGCCGCCCCTACTGGGAAGTGAGGAGCCCCTCTGCCCGGCCACCACCCCGTCTGGGAGGTGTGCCCAACAGCTCATTGAGAACGGGCCAGGATGACAATGGCGGCTTTGTGGAATAGAAAGGCGGGAAAGGTGGGGAAAAGATTGAGAAATCGGATGGTTGCCGTGTCTGTGTAGAAAGAAGTAGACATGGGAGACTTTTCATTTTGTTCTGCACTAAGAAAAATTCCTCTGCCTTGGGATCCTGTTGATCTGTGACCTTACCCCCAACCCTGTGCTCTCTGAAACATGTGCTGTGTCCACTCAGGGTTAAATGGATTAAGGGCGGTGCAAGATGTGCTTTGTTAAACAGATGCTTGAAGGCAGCATGCTCGTTAAGAGTCATCACCACTCCCTAATCTCAAGTAATCAGGGACACAAACACTGCGGAAGGCCGCAGGGTCCTCTGCCTAGGAAAACCAGAGACCTTTGTTCACTTGTTTATCTGCTGACCTTCCCTCCACTATTGTCCCATGACCCTGCCAAATCCCCCTCTGTGAGAAACACCCAAGAATTATCAATAAAAAAATAAATTTAAAAAAAAAAAAAAAAAAAAGAAATATTTCACCTCCTCAGTTAAATATATTCCTAGGTATTTTATTTTTTTGTAGCTACTGTAAATGTGATTGCCTTCTTAATTTGGTTGTCAGCATGATCATAATTGGTATATAGAAATACTAGTGATTTGTGCACATTGATTTTGTATCCTGAAACCTTACTGATATGGTTTGGCTGTGTCCCCACCTAAATCACATCTTGAATTGTAGTTCCCATAATCCCCACGCATTGTGAGAGGGACTTGGTGGGAGGTAATTGAATCATGGGTGTGGTTACCCCCATGCTGCTGTTCTTGTGATAGTGAGTGAGTTCTCATGAGATCTGATGGTTTTATCAGGGGCTTTTCCCCCTTGTGCTTGGCACTTCTCCTTCCTGCCATCATGTGAAGAAGGTTGTGTTTGCCTCCCCTTCTGCCATGAATGTAAGTTTCCTGAGGCCTCCACAGCCATACCGAACTGTGAGTCAATTAAACCTCTTCCCTTTATAAATTACCGAATCTTGGGTAGTCCTTTTTTTTTTTTTTTTTGAGAGGGAATCTTGCTCTGTCGCCCAGGCCGGAGTGCAGTGGCGTGGTCTCAGCTCACTGCAAGCTCCGCCTCCCAGGTTCAAGCCAATCTCCTCAGCCTCCGGAGTAGCTGGAACTACAGGCGCCCGCCACCACGCCCAGCTGATTTTTTTGTATTTTTCAGTAGAGACGGGGTTTCACCGTGTCAGCCAGGATGGTTTCGATCTCCTGACCTCGTGATCCACCCGCCTCGGCCTCCCAAAGTGCTGGGATTACAGGCGTGAGCCACCGCGCCCAGCCAGGTAGTCCTTTATAGTAGCATGAGAATGGACCAATATACTTACTGAATTCATTTACCAAGTGTAAGAGATATTGGTGGAGTCTTGTGGATGTTCTAGATATAAGATCATATCATCAGTGAACAGAAATAATTTGACTTCTTTTCCAAAAAATGTCTTCTTTTTTTTTTTTTTTTTTTTTTTTTTGCCTTATGTCTCTGGCCAAGGCTTCCAGTATTATGATATATAAGAGAGGTAAAAGTGTGCATACTTGTCTTCTTCCAGTTCTTAGGGGGAATGCTTTCAACTTCTCCCCATTTAGTATAATATTGGTTGTAGGTTTGTCATACACTGCCTTTATTATTTTGAGGTATACTCCTTCTGTGTCTAGTTTGTCAAGTGTTTTTATTATGAAGGGATTTTGAATTTTATCAAATGCTTTTTTTTGCATCTATTGAGGTAATCATCTGGTTTTCATCCTTAATTCTGTTTATGTGATGAATCACATTTATTGATTATGTGTGTTGAACTGTCTTTGTACCCCTGGAATAAAACTCGCTTCATCATGGTGTATTATCTTTTTTATATATTGTTGGGTTGGGTTTGCTAGTATTTTGTTGAGGACTTTTCCATCTACGTTCATCAGGGATATTGGTCTGTAGGTTCTTTTGTTGTTGTGTCCTTGTCTGGCCTTAGTATCAGGGTGATCCTGGCCTCATAGAATGAGTTAGGGAATTGGGCCAGGCATGGTAGCTCACTTAAATAATCCCAGAACTTTGGGAGGCCGAGGCAGGGGGATCACTTGAGGCCAGGAGTTCAAGACTAGCTTGGACAACATGGCGAAACCCTGTCTCTTCCAAAGAAAAAAAATGCAAAAATTAGCCGGGCATGGTGGCACATACCTGTAATCCCAGCTATTTGGGCGGCAGAGGCATGAGAATTGCTTGAACCCAGGAGGAGAGTGAGATTCTATCTCAAGGAAAAGAAAAAAAAAATTAAAAAGAATGAGTTAGAGATAACTTCCTCCTCCTTGATTTTTTAGAACAGTTTCTGGAGGATGGGTACCAGTTCTTCTTTGTACATTTGGTAGAATTCGCCTGTGAATCCATTCAGTCCTGGTCTTTTTTTATTGTTGCTGGGAGGGTTTTTCATTACTGATCTCACTACTCATTATTGGTCTGTTCATAATTTCTATTTCTTCCCAGTTCAATCCTAGAAGGTTGTATGTTCCAGGAATTTATCCAATTTCTTTAGGTTTTCTAGTTTGTGAGCATACAGTTGTTTATAAATCTCTGATGATCTTTTGTATTTCTGTGGTCTCAGCGGTAATATCTTCTTTTTTATTTCTGATTGTGTTTATTTGGATCTGCCCTCTTCTTTTTTTCTTAGTCTAGCTAGTGGTTATCAATTTCATCTTTTCAAAGAACAAACTTTTTGTTTCATTGATCCACTGGGTTTTGTTTTTGGTCTCAATTTCATTTAGTTCTCCTCTGATCGTTGTTATTTCTTTTCTTCTGCTAGCTTTGGGTTTGGTTTGTTCTTGTTTTTCTAGTTGCTTGAGATGTGACATTAGGTTGTTAATTTGTGATCTGTCTATTTTTGTGTGTGTTTTGTGTAGGCATTCAATGCTATAAACTTCAATAGGCCCTAAATCTTATGATTGATGTCCTCATAAGGGGAAAGGGAGTTGAAGACACTCCCTGAAGACACACATAAATGGAGATGGCCATGTGAAGTTGGAGGCAGAGATTGAAGTGATGTGTCTATAAGTCATGAACGCCAAGGATTGCCAGAAGCTACCAGAAGCTAAAAGACAGGCATAGAGCAAATTCTTTCTCACATCCTCCAGAATGAACCAATCCTACTAACACCTGGATTTCAGACTTCCAACCTCTAGAACCATGAAAGAATAAATTTTTGTTGCTTTAAGCCACCCAGTTTTGTGGTATTTTGTTATGGTAGCCCTAGGAAGCTCATAGGGGAATGCCATTCCAATATCCAAAAAGCAACGCCAATAATTAGTTTAAAATTTTGATCTGAAACTGAGGAATTACTCTAGTAAAGGCTCTTAGCCAGAACCTGTAATGATTAGGATAAATATCCTTGATTATATCCCTCCCAACCATCATCCCCTAGAAAATATGGGTATCCACATTTGTTGTTGAGGGTAGTCTATGAGGCCAGGCACGGTGGCTCACATCTATAATCCCAGCACTTTGGGAGGCTAAGGCAGGTGGATCACTTGAAATCAGGAGTTCGAGACCAGCCTGGCCAACATGGTGAAACATGTCTCTACTAAAAATACAATAATTAGCTGGGCATCTTGTGCCTGTAGTCCCAGCTACTTGGGAGGATGAGGCAGGAAACTGCTTGAACCCAGGAGGTGGACGTTGCAGTGAGCTGAGATCATGCCACTGCACTCTAGTCTGGGTGACAGAGCAAGTCCCTGTCTCAAAAAAAATAGTCTATGAGATCTCAAATATTCTCTTTGGCAATCTGAGAATTGAGAAAAGAAAGACATAAAATTAAGAGATGTTAAAAAGAAAACAAGATATGACAGAGAGCATTGAGAAAGTTGTTTTACCAGAACACTCCAAATTCTGCTTCAAAGGGCAGAGAAGCTTTTATTATGTTTGAGATTGGTGTGTTATTTGACCACCTGACTATTGTAGCTGCTCAGAAGTCTCTTAGAGATTTCCTCAAATTCAGTCAACACTTTTTAAGAAGGTCTGGAAGATAACCTTTTAGGCCTTTTCTGGAATGTAAACATCATTATCAATTGCCTGTAAGAATCTAAAGGTCATCCTAATTTATCATGGGCCAGTCTACCTCCCAGGTCAACCAAATTGTTGCAATAGGTTCATCATCAGTGTTTTTCTCTACCCAGCACAACCTCCAGTATAAATGAGCCTTGAACCCAGGGAAGATAAACTGACTGGAAACTCAGACTACCCAGGAATGAAGATGTCCATGTTCATTTCACTTAGGCTTTTGTGCATGATTCATAGCCCAGTCCTCTCCAGAGCTGGCCAAGAGGAATTACACTAGGCTGGTCCTAAAGAGTTTTGGTCTTGAGCGGGACTATGTATTAATATGATCCATTACAGGGCAAGGAAAAACAAAGCTGTTTTACATGCAGATAGTTTCAATTGACCAGTGTGTCAGGAGTTCACATCAAGTACAGTTGTCCAAGATGTGAAATTGCATCTTTTTAGACAGAATTCAGGGGTGGTGTTAAGGGGTGCCAACTTAGTTCATCTAAGGTAAACAAACTCACTGAATGCAAGTATACCTGATAAATGATTACTATATGAAACTTTATCCAAAGCTCCCTCTTGGGATTCCTAGAACATACAGACTGGCAAATCAAATCTAAGAGTCCTCTCCCCCTCCTCCTGATCCTACCTCACCCACCAGCTGTGCGATTGGAAGTATTTTCACCACTCTAAGACACATCAAACACAAATTCTCAAAGCAATACACAAAGATGAGCTTGTGCCTAGACAACTCTAGATGGTCAGGAAGAAATGCTCAAGAGGTCTCTGGCCAGACCTCCCTCACCCACTGAATTCTCACCTCTCTCCTAGGCTACTCTTAAGGCTAAGTGCTAACTAAATTTTTGTGCTAAATGGCTCCCCTCTCCAGGCCTAGACATGAACCAAAACCTTCTTTTTTCCTCTTCCCCTGGCAAAGGCAAAGAAAGATGAATATTTATATAAGGAAACTTTATCAACAACAAAAAAGTGAATATAAGAAAGTACAAAAGCATGAGTAAATGTTCAGTTAACATATCCTGCCTGATATGATTTGGCTATATGGGATATGTAACTTCCACAATTTCCACGTGTCATTGGAGGAACCCTGTGGAGGTGATTGAATTATAGTGATAGTGAATGAGTCTCACAAGATCTGATGGTTTTAAAAATGAGAGTTTCCCTGAACCAGCTCTCCCTTTGCCTGCTGCCATCCACATAAGATATGATTTGCTCCTCCTTGCCCTCCACCATGATTGTGAGGCCTCCCCAGCCATGTGGAAATGTAAGTCCATTAAACCCCTTTTCCTATATAGATTACCCAGGCTAAGGTATGTCTTTATCAGCACCACGGAAACGGACTAATACAGTAAATTGGTACCACAGTGGGGTGTAGCTGAAAAGATACCTGAAAATGTGGAAGCGACTTTGGAACTGGGTAACAAGCAGAAGTTGGAAGAGTTTGGAGGGTTCAGAAGAAGACAGGAAAATATGGGAAAGTTTGGAACTTCCTAGAGACTTGTTGAATGGCTTTGCCCAAAATGCTGATAGCGATATGGACAATAAAGTCCAGGCTGAGGAGGTCTCAGATGGAGATGAAGAGCTTGTTGGGAACCAGAGCAAAGGTGACTCTTGTTATGTTTTACCAAAGACAATGGTGATATTTTGCCCCTGCCCTAGAGATTTGTGGAACTTTCAACTGGAGTGAGATGATTTCGGGTATCTTGCGGAAGAAATTTCTAAGCAGAAAAGCATTCAAGAGGTGACTTGGGTGCTGTTAAAGGCAATCAGTTTTATAAGGGAAGCAAAGCATAGAAGTTCAAAAAATTTGTTGACTGACAATGCAATAGAAAAGAAAATCCCATTTTCTGAGGAGAAATTCAAACAGTTGCATAAGAAATGAGAAGCCAAATGTTAACCCCAAGACAATGTGGAAAATTTTTCCAGGGCATTCAAGAGGTCTTCATGTCAAACCCCCCCATCACAGGCCCAGAGGCCTAGGAGGAAAAAGTGGTTTCATAGCCGGGCCCAAGGTCTCCATGCTGTGTGCAGCCTAAAGTCAAAGCTGGAAAAGAAAAAAAATAAGCCAGACACAGAAAGACAAATATTGCATGATCTCATTTATTTTGTGAAATTAAAAAAAAAGGCAAATACATACGATAGAGAATAAAACAATGGTTACTAGGGATAGAAAGTGGAGGTTGAAAGTTGAGAAAGGAGAAAACGGGGAGATGTAGGTCAAAGGATACAAAGTGGCAGATATAGAGGATAAACAAGCCTAGAGATCTAATATAAAATATGAGGACAATAGTTAATAATATTGTATTGTATTCACCATTTTTGCTAAATTAATAGATTTTAGCTGCTTTTGCTCAAGAAAAACAAAACACATTTTAAAAAGCAGGTTACTAAGTGAGATAATGAATATGTTGATTTGCTTTACTATATTAACCATTTTGCCATCTGTATGTATATTATAACATCATGTTGTCTACCTTTAATATATACAATATAAATTATTTTTAAAAATCAACAAACTTCGGTCTGGTTGCAGCCTCTCAGCTCAATTGATCTATATTGGGGAGGGGATGTGAATCTGCAGGGAACTGAGAGTATAAAGATAACAAGAGTGTAGCAAAGACAAATGATGTTAGTTCCTCCCTATCTATTTTCTGTACACAGTGTCCATGAAGATTTAAGAAAAATAGCAGCAAGAAGGAAGAAAAAGGATGAAAGAGAAAGAGGGGGAGGGGAAGAAAGAGAGAAGGAAGAGGAGGAGGAGAAGGGAGAAGGAAGGAAGATAAAGGTGGAGGGTGGTAGAAGGAAGAAGAGGGTGAGGTGAGTAATGAGAAAAGTTATGAGGTTTTGAGAGTGAGTGCTGAACCTCTGCCTGGCTTTCCCAGCCCCTGGATCTCCTGCTGTCTGCATCTGAAGTCTCTGATGATTATCTCCCACTGCAAGCTCTTGCTTAACCCCATTTCATAGTCAGAGAAAGGAGGTTACTTAATCATAGCCTCCCTGCAGATACATGTCAGAATTAACTCAGACTGCTACAACAGGGCCTGGTGACAAAGTAACTCCACAGTTGCTGACTCTTTAAGATTCTTTGACTACTAAACCACCCCTGGACTTAGTATGATTTGTTTTTGTACCAAATGTTTTGATCCAGTTGGCAGCTTTTTCCTGACTGTCAATCGTTTCTGACTGGCTATTTTCCTAATTCTCCAGCTCCTTCTTCTAAACCTGCCATCTCCAACTGCCGCCCAAGGACTAGAATCTCCATCCTTCCTCCAACCAGTTCTCATCCTGTTCCTGTCATCTCTCCTTCTGTGTTGGGTCTCAAAAACACAAATGAAATCCTCAACAGAATACTAATAAACCAAGTTTAACAGCACAGCACATTGAAAGAATCACATACCACGGCCAAGTGGGATTTATTTCTAGGATGCAAGGGTAGTTCAACATATTAAAATCAATCAATGTGACCACTACATTATCAGAATAAATGAAAAAAAATCACATGATCATCTTAATTGATGCACAAAAAACCTTCAACAAAATTCAAAACCATGATAAAAACACTTAATAAACTAGGAATATAAGAAAATTACCTGAACTTTATAAAAGCCATATATAAAAAGCTCCCAGCTAACATCATACTGAATGGTGAAAAGCTGAAAGTTTTTTTGATAAGATCTGGAGCAAGGTAAGGATGACCACTATCACTTCTATTCAACATAATCCTACAAGTCCCAGCCAGAATAAGGAAGAAAAAGAAATAAAAGGCATTCAAATTGGAAAGGAAGAATAGAATGATCTCTTTCTGAAGATGATATGATTCCATATGTAGAAAACACTAAAGATTAAAAATAACTGTTAGAAATAATAAACGAATTTGGAAAAGCTACAGAACACAAAATTAACACAAAAAATCAGCTATATGTCTATATAATAACAATAAACAATATGAAAAGGAAATTTAGAAAATCATCCTATTTACAATAGGATGATTTGGCCTTTTGGCCTTTTGGCTAAGACTGAGTATACAATAGCATCAAAAAAAAAAAAAAAGTACTAAGGAATAAACTTGACCAAGGAGACAAAAGACGTGTACACTGAAAACTACAAAATATTCCTGAAAAGAATTAAAAGGACACAAATAAAAAAGCATCTTCTGTTCATGGACTGGAAGACAATATTGTCAAAATGTCTATACTACCTAAAGCTATCTACGGATTCAATGCAGTTCCTATCAAAATCCCAATGGTATTTTTTTAAGAAATAGAACAAAAATTCTAAAATTTATATGGAATCTCAAAGAACTCTGAGTAGCCAAAACAATCCTGAAACAAACAAACAAAGCTAAAGGCCTCACACTTTATAATTTCAAAATATATTACAAAGTCACATTAATCAAAACAGTATAATTCTGGCATAAAGACAAGCATATATATTAATGGAACAGAATAGAGAGCCCAGAAATAAACCCTCACATGTATGGTCAAATGATCTTCGACAAGGGCACCAAGACTACACAATGGGGGAAGTGTAGTATCTTCAACAAATGCTGGTGGGAAACCCAGACATCCAATTGCAAAAGAAAAATGTTGGATACCCTATAACATATATAAAAATCAATTCGAAATGGATTAACCACCTAACCATAAGATCTGAAACTATAAAACGACTAACTATAAGAAAACATAAGGCAGAAGCTTTGTGATCATGTATTTGGCAATGATTTCTTGGATATGACCTGATAACCCCAAGTGATAAAAGGAAAAATAGACAAATGGGACTATATCAAATTTAAAAACTCCTGTGCAGCAAAGGAAACAACTAGTAAAGTAAAAAGGCATCCTGAAGAATGGGAGAAAAAGAAAAAAAAAAAGAATGGGAGAAAATATTTGCAAATGATATATCTGATAAGGGGTTAATATCTAGAATATATAAGAACTCCTACAACTCAACATCAAAAAAACACAAAAACGTGATTTAAAAGTGAGCAAAGGACTTGAATAGACATTTCTCTAAAGAAGATATACAAAGGACCAACAAGCAAATGAAAAGATGCTCAATGTCACTAATCATTGGAGAAATGCAAATCAAAAACCACAGTGAGATATCACCTCCTAACTATTAGAATGGCCATTATCCAAAAATTAGAAAATAACAAATGCTGGTGAGAGTGTGGAGAAATTGGAAACCCTGTGCACTGATGGTGGGAATGTAAAATGGTGCAGCTGCTAAAGAAAACAGTATGGAGATTTCTCAAAACATTAACAGTAGAATTATTATGTGATTCAGCAATCCTACTCCTGGGTATTTACCCAAAACAATTGAAAACAGGATCTGGAAGAGATTATGCACACTCATATTAATTGCAATAATATTCACGATAGCCAAGAGGTGGGAGCAAACAACCTAAATATCCATTGACAGTTAACTAGATAAAGAAAATGTGGTATATACATACAATGGAGTATTATTCAGTTTTTAAAAAGAAGGAAATCCTGTCATATACTAGAAGTGCATGAACCTTGAGGACATTATGCTAAGTGAAATAAGCCAGTCACAAAAAAAGACAAATACTGCATGATTCCATGTATATAAGGTATCTAAAGTAGTCAGACTCATAGAAACAGAAAGTTAATGTGGTCACTAGAGGCTGGAGGGAAGGGGAAATAAGTAGTCATTCCTCAATGGGGTATAGACTTTCAGTTTTGCAAGATGAAAAGGTTCTAGAGATCTGCTGTACAACAATATGCATATAGTTAACACTACTGTAGCATACACTTAAAAATAGTTAAGATGATATGGGAAACAGCTCAAATGTCCATCAACAAATGAACAGATAAACAAATATGGGATATATTATTCAGCCATAAAAAGGAATGCAGTTCTGATACATGCTGCAATGAAGGTAAACCTTGAAACTATTCAAAGTGAAGGAAACCAGACATAATAGGTCATATATTATGTGACTCCATTTATAGAAAATATCAGAATAGATAAGTCCATAAAGACAGAACATATATGAGTGGCTTCTAGGAGCTGAAGGGAAGATATGGGTTTTTCTTTGGGGATGAGAATAATGTGTGTGGTGGCGTTTTTTGGGTTTTGTTTTTAGAGATGGGGTCTCACTCTGTCACCCGGGCTGGAGTGCAGTGGTGCAATCATAGCTCACTGCAGCCTCTAAATCCTGGGCTCAAGTGATCCTGCTGCCTCATCCTCCTGAGTAGCTAGAACTACAGGCATGTGCTACCACAGCCAATTAAAGATGAAAATATTTTAGCACTGAATACACGTGGCAGTTGCACAGCAATTTGGAATGTACTGTAAACTAAAAAGTATCTGAAACAGTCTCAATCAATTTAGAAGTTTATTTTGCCAAGGTTAAGGACATGCCCATGACATGCCTCAGGACAAGATTAAGGACATGCCCATGACATGCCCGTCCTAAGGACAGCCTCAGGAGATCCTGATGACATGTGCCCAAGGTGGTTGGGCTACAACTTGTTTTATACGTTTTAGGGAAATGTAAGACATCAATCAATACATGTAAGATGTACAAAGACTCTATTTGAAAAGGCGGTACAACTGGAAGTGGCAGTTGCCGGTTGGGAGGGATTCCAGGTCATAGCCAGATTCAAAGATTTTCTGATTGGCAATTGGTTATTATCTAAAGACCTGGAATCAATTGAAAGGAATTTCTGGATTATGATAAGAGGTTGTGGAGACCAAGGTTTCATTATGCAGGTGAAACCTTCAAGTAGCAGGCTCCAGGGAGAATAGATTGTTTCTTACCCAACTTGAAGAGTCTGTTCTACAGAAAATCAAATACTGCATATTCTCACTTATAAGTGGGAGCTGAATGATGAGAACGCATGGACACATGGGGGAAACAACACACACGGGGGCCTGTTGGAGGGTTGGGGGAAGGGGGGGGAGGGAGAGCATCAGGAAGAATAGGTAAAGGGTACTGGGCTTAACCCATTTATGCCTGAGGTTGAAATTTTTTGAATTTTTGCAATCAATCAGACCTTGGCAATGACCTTGAGCAGTAGGATATAAATAACTCCCACATGCTTAGTGTTCCAATAATGGAACACTAGGCTAATACCTAGGTGATGGGATGATCTGTGCAGCTAATCACCATGGCACATATTTAACTATGTAACAAATTTGCACATCCTGCACATGTACCCCTGAACTTAAAATAAAAGTTGGACATAAAAATAGAGTCTTTGCTTGCTAATGGTCTATCAATTTTATTTATCTTTTCAAAGAACCAGCTTTTTGTTTTATTTATATTTTGTATTGATTGTTTCAATTTCATTTAGTTCTGTTCTGATCTTGGTTATTTCCTTTCTTCTGCTAGGTTTGGGTTTGGTTTGTTCTTGTTTCTTTAGTTCCTTGAGGTGTGACCTTAGATTGTATTCTTTCGGACTTCTTGATGGAGGCATTTATGGCTATGAAGTTTCCTCTTAGCACCACTTTGCTGTATCCCAGGGGTTTTGATAATTTGCGTCACTCTTGCCATTCAGCTCGAAGAATTTTCTAATGTCCATCTAGATTTCATTTTTGACCCAATGATCATTCAGGTACAGGTTATTTAATTTCCATGTATTTGCATGGTTTTGAAGGTGGTTCCTTTTGGAGTTGATTTCTAGTTTTATTCCACTATGGTCTGAGAGAGTGTTTTTCTTAAATTTATTGAGACTCATTTTATGGCCTATTATATGGTCTATCTTGGAGAAAGTTCCATGTGCTGTTGAATAAAATGTATATTCTGTGGTTGTTGGGTAGAATGTTCTGTATAAATCTGTCAAATCCATTTGTTCCAGGGTATAGTTTACACTGATTGTTTCTTTGTTGAATTTCTGTCTTGATGACCTGTCTAGTGCTGTCAGTGGAGTACTGAAGTCCCCAACTATTATTGTGTTGCTATCTCATTTCTTAAGTCTATTAGTAATTGTTTTATAAATTAGGGACTTCCAGTGTTAGGTGCATATATATTTAGGATTGTAATATTTTCCTGTTGAACAAGACATTTTATCATTTATATAATGTCCCTCTTTGTCTTTTTTAACTGCTGTTGCTTTAAAGTTTGTTCTGTCTGATATAGGAATAGCTACTCTTGCTCACTTTTGGTGTCCATTTGCATGGAATGTCTTTTTCCATCCCTTTAAGTTTATGTGAGTCCTTATGTGTTAGGTGAGTCTCTTGAAGGCAGCAGATGGTTGGTGAGTTCTTATCCATTCTGCAATTCTGTATCTTTTAAGGGGAGCATTTAGGCCATTTACATTCAACATTAGTATTGAGATGGGAGTTACCATTTCATTCATCATACTATTTGTTCCCTGTATACCTTGGTTTTTTTGTTTTTTGAGGGTTTTTTTTTTATATTGCCTTTTTGTTTTATAGGTCCTATGAGATTTATGCTCTAAAGGGGTTCTGTTTTCATGTGTTTCCAGGATTTGTTTCAAGATTTAGAGCTCCTTTTAGCTGTTCTTGTAGTGCTGGCTTGGTAGTGGCGAATTCTTTCAGCATTTGTTTGTCTAAAAAATACCATTTTTCCTTCATTTATGAAGATTAGTTTCACTGGATACAAATTCTTGGCTGATAATTGTTTTGTTTGAGGAGGCTGAAGATAGGTCCCCAATGTCTTCTAGCTTGTAGGATTTCTGCTGAGAAATCTGCTGTTAATCTGATAGGTTTTCCTTTATAGGTTTCCTGGCGCTTTTGACTCACAGTTCTTAAGATTCTTTCCTTCATCTTAACTTTAGGTAATCTGATGACAATGTGTCTAGGTGATGATCTTTGTGCAATGAATTTCCCAGGTGTTCTTTGTGCTTCTTGTATTTGGATGCCTAGGTCTCTAGCAAGGCTAGGGAAGTTTTCCTCAATTTTTCTCCCAAATATGTTTTCCAAACTTCTAGGTTCCTCTTCTTCCTCAGGAATGCCAATTATTCTTAGGGTTGGTAGTTTAACGTGAACCCAGACCTCATGGAGGCTTTGTTCAATTTTTCTTATTCTTTCTTCTTTGTCTTTGTTGGATTTGGTTAATTCAAAGAACTTGTCTTCAAGCTCTGAAGTTCTTTCTTCTGCTTGTTGAATTCTATTGCTGAGACTTTCCAGAACATTTAGCATTTCTATAAGTGTGTCTATTGTTTCCTGAAATTTTGATTTTTTATTTATGCTATCTATTTCATTGAGTATTTCTCCCATCACTTCTTGTATCTTTTTTTTTTATTTCCTTAGATTGGGCTTCACCTTTCTCTGTTGCCTCCCTGATTAGCTTAACAACTAACCTCCTGAATTCTTTTTCAGGTAAATCAGGGACTTCTTCTTGGTTGGAATCCATTGCTGGTGGGCTAGTGTGATTTTTTCTTGGGTGGTGAAGAACATTGTTTTGTCATATTGCCAGAGTTGGTTTTCTGGTTTCTTCTCATTTGTCACAGAGGTCTAAGGCCAAAGGCTGTTGTTCAAATTGTTTTGTCCCATGGAGTGTTCCCTTGATGTAGTACTCTCCCCCTTTTCCTAGGGATGTGGCTTCCTGAGAGCCAAGCTGTAAAGATTGTTATCTCTCTTCTGGATCTAGCAACCCAGCAAGTCTACCAGGCTCTGGGCTGGTACTGGAGGTTGTCTGCACAGAATCCTCTGATGTGAACCATCTGTGAGTCTTTCTGCCATTGATACCAGCATCTGCTCTGGTGGAGGTGGTGGGGGAGTAAAATGGGCTCTGTGAGGGTCCTTGGCTTTGGTTGCTTAATGCACTATTTTTGGGTTGGTTGTCCTCCTGCGGAAGGTGGTGATTTCAAGAGCATCAGCGGTAGTAGAATGGGGAGGAACAGGTGGTGGGGGGCACCACCACCCCCTTGAACTCCCAAGAGTATATGCCCTTTGTCTTCAGTTACCAGGGTAGGTAGGGAAGGACCATCAGGTAGAGGCAGTGGCAGGCGTGTCTGACCTCAGACTCTCCTTGAGCGGTCTTGCTGCAGCTGCTGTGGGGGATGAGGTTGAGATTCCCAGATCAACAGTTATGTTCCTAGGAGGATAATGGCTGCCTCTACTGGGTCATGCAACTTGTCAGGGAAGTGGGGAAAAGCCAGCAGTCATAGGCCTCACCCAGCTCCCACACAACCCAAAGGGCCAGTCTCACTCCCACCGTGCCCCCAGTAACAGCACCAAGTGTGTTTCCAGGCAGTGGGTGAACAGGACTGAGAACTTGCCCCAGGCTACCCACTTTCCAGCTGTGAAAGCAATTAGGGCTTTTATTCTTCACCTGCCTGTGGAGTCCGCACACTGGATTCATGTCCTCCCCTGAGTTCTGGCCAGGGGGCTTCTCAATCAGTTCATATTGTTAGCAAATTTCAGCTGGAGATTTTCTTCTCCCTGTGGCCTTTTCCCAGTGCCTCTGGCCACTCTTCCCAAGGGCCCCTGTGAGGCAGGGCAGAAATGGCTTGCTAGGGAACCCAACAAGCCCACAGGACTTTTCCTGCTGCTTCCTCTACCCCTGTATTTCACTCGGCTCTCTAAATTGACTCAGCTCCAGGTAAGGTCAGAATCTTCTCCCATAATCTAAGCCTTCAGGTTCTCTTGTGCAGGGGTATGTGTTCTGGGGTGCATGATCTTCCTTTCTCGCTTCCACAGTTTGGGCACTCATAGTATTTGGGGTATCTCCTAAGTCCTGCAGGAGCAATCCACTTCCTTCAGAGGGTCTGCTGGTTCTCTTGGCTTTCCTAATGTATTCCTGCAGTCATTCTGGAGCAAAAGTTCGTGATGCAAGCCTCCACATGCTGCTCTGTCTGTCTGAGTGGGTGCTGCAATCTAGTCCTGGCTTCCATCTGCCATGATCCCTGGATTATACATTTTAAATAAGTCTGGTCTATCAGCCTTAAGGTCTGTGTTGATGTTAATGGTAATGAGGCATGTCCAACTCCTCCTTCCCATCATGCCTTGAACTAGCTTTTCAGTTTAACTTTGGAATGTCCTTGGCCTAGAGGAGGGTCCATTCAGATGGTTGGAGGCGCTTAGAATTTTACTTTTGATTTATAGTACTAAATTCCACTGAATTCTTCACTTTAAAATGGTAATTTTTATTTATTCTATTTATTTTTTTAAGGTCCTTCCCCTGCCCTTAAAAAATGATAATTTTTTTTACACAAATTTTACCTCAGTAAAAAAGTAAAATGTTTTTTAGAAAGCAAGTACACACCGCCAGGCGCGGTGGCTCATGCCTGTAATCCCAGCACTTCGGGAGGCCGAGGCGGGTGGATCACCTGAGGCTGGGAGTTCGAGACCAGCCTGACCAACATGGAGAAACCCTGTCTCTACTAAAAATACAAAATTAGCTGGGCGTGGTGGCACATGCCTGTAATCCCAGCTACTAGGGAGGCTGAGGCAGGAGAATCGCTTGAACCTGGGAGATGGAGGTTGCAGTGAGCCGAGATTGCTCCATTGCACTCCAGCCTGGGCAACAAGAGTGAAACTCTGCCTCAAAAAAAAAAAGAAAGCAAGTACACACCACACACACACACACACACACACACACACACACACACACACATTCTGTGTTAGCCAGTTCTCACATTGCTATGAAGAAATGCCTAAGACTGGGTAATTTATAAAGAAAAAAGGTTTAATTGGCCCAATTTATAAAGAAAAGAGGTTTAATTGGCTCATGGTTCCACAGGCTGTACAGGAAGCATGATGCTGGCATCTGCTTCTGGGGAGGCCTCAGGGAGCTTTTACTCATGGCAGAAGGCAAATGGGGAGCGAGGCACCTAACATGGCAGGAGCAGTAGTAAGAGGGTCAAGGGAGGTGCTGGACACTTTTAAACAACCTGATCTCACAATAATTCACTCACTCACTATCATGAGAATGACACCCAGAAGATGACAATAAACCATTCATGAAGGAGCACCATCATGATCCAATCACCTCCCACTAGGCCCCACTTCTAACACTGGGGATTACAATTGAACGTGAGCTATGGGTGGGGACACAGATCCAAACAATATCACATACATACATACATCTACATACATGTGTGCACACACACATGAGCTCTCAGACTGGCAACATTTTACTATCTAACTAGATTGAATAAAACAGTTGGGACCATCTACAGTAAATTCCCTCAGTTTTCAACTCATCATCTTGCACTCAAACATGTGGACATCCACACTTTTACTTGCTTCATTTCATCCTAAGAGAATAAACTATCCTTCCTATTTTAAGATAACTGCTCCAAATCCCTTCATTTTTTCTTCCAAGCTCTCACTCCTTCAAATTTCACTTTTTCTCTTGAATATTCCATCTTTTTGTTCTATTGATTTTTTTCTCTTTAGCCTATAAATAGTCCCAAGTCTCTCCCACCCTAAAAAAAAACCCATTGACCTTTTACTATTCACTGTAATTTGTCTCCTTTCATTCTCTGCCAACCTTCTCAGAAAGCAGTCAACATTCACTTTCTGAATCAGTTTGTCTCCCCAAGGTCACCAATGCCTCCACACTATGAAATCTAGTGGACATATTTAAGTCTTTATTATAAAAACAATTTGTGATACTGTGAAATATATATATGATCTTCCACCCATTTCCCGGCATACAATTCTTAAAATCCTTAGACTCTCCAAAGTGATGACTTCTTGTATGCTAATGTTGACTGATGGCTGGCAGCCCCTATGTAGCTTCAGGATGGGAGCTGGTCACAGAATGACCAAGGCATGATTAGAGGGTTGGGATTTTTCACTCTACCTCCTGACCTCTGGGGAGGGAGAGTGGCTAAAAGTTGAGTTAATCACTAATGGCCAATTATTTAATCAATCATGTCCATGTAATGAAGCTTCCATAAAAACTCAAAAGGACCAGGTTTGGAAAGCCTCTAGGTAACTGAACACTTGGGGGTTCCTGGAGGGTGACTGCCTGGGAAGGAGATGGAAGCTCCGCATACCTTCCCCCGCACGTTTTTCTATGCATTTTTTCATCTGTATCCTTTGTAGTATCCTTTATTTATTAATTTTTTTTGGAGACAGTTCCACTCTTCTGTCACCCAGGCTGGAGTGCAGTGGTGCAATCTCGGCTCACTACAACCTCCACCTCCTGGGTTCAAGCAATTCTTCCTACCTCAGCCTCCTGAGTAGCTGGGACTACAGGTATGTGCCACCACGACTGGCTAATTTTTTTATTTTTAGTAGAGACGGGGTTTCACCACATTGGCCAGGCTGGTCTTGAACTCCTGACTTCAGGTGATCCACCCGCCTCAGCGCCCCAAAGTGCTAGGATTACAAGCGTGAGCCACCGCACCGGTCATGAATGTATTTCTTAAGTAATAAGACTTGAAATTCTGTAATGTCCTCTATAATGAACCAGTAAACTGTTTCCCTGAGTTCGTGAATAAATCAAACCCAAGGGGAAGTTAGGTGATAGAACATTTAAGGACTAAGTTCTGATTTTTTTTATCTTGCCCAAATTCCTATCTAAGGAGTCTGGGAAGTCATGCCATACAAACCATAAATTCTCATCACTTGGGTTTTATTTAACCCTATATATTGTGACTTACTTTCCAACCTGACTCTGGCATAACATTATGAAACAAGAAAGAAAATAAAAATATTTTACCCCAAAACATGTTTCTTTGCCATATCTTGAAATGGCCCTACAAAGCTGTCCTTTGTAGGGGAATATTTGCATCTGTAAAGAATCTCTATTAACATAGAATCTCTATTAACATAGCTAGGTCTTTTTCTTCCAGGCCCTCCCAATCCTAAAGAGATTAACTAAAAGTCTAGTACCTTTTAAAGATCTGAATAGGAAACATTTGTCATCTACTGTCTCTAAGGGCAGCCATGATAATAAGACTTCAAAAGAACCTTGGTCTTGCAATCTTTTATCTTAACCTGAGCATTTCCTTTCTATAGATCTAAGGTCTTTAGACAAACTGAACAAATTGCCAAGCAGAAAATGTTTACATTTACCTATAGCCTGGAAGTTCCCACTTTGAGTTGTCTTGCCTTTCTAGACCAAACCAATAGACCAAACCAATGTATTTCCTAAATGTATTTGATTGATGTCTCATGCCTCCCTAAAATGCATAAAACCAAGCTGCACCTTGACTACCTTGGGCACATGTTCTCAGGACCTCCTGAGGCCGTGTCATGGGCTATGGTTGCTCATATTTAGCTCAGAATAAATCTCTTCAACTATTTTACAGTTAGACTCTTCATTGACACATTATAGTTAAATCACATTATACTAATTATACTATACACATTAGTATAATGTGATTTAACATGTCTCAAAATGGACTCACTTGTGACAAGTGAGAGCCCAGAGTGAAATCGGAAATTGCTGACCCCTCAAAGTGATAAGCATATGTATGGTGAACTGAGGTGATAAGATAACACTTGCTTGGCCAGGCACCCCCCAGACCCAACAAGAAAGTGAAGCCAGATCAGGTGCAGTGGCTCACGCCTGTAATCCCAACACTCTGGGAGGCCGAGGCGGGCGGATCACGAGGTCAAGAGATGGAGACCATCCTGGCCAACGTAGTGAAAACCCATCTCTACTAAAAATACAAAAATTAGCTGGACATGGTGCCAGGCACCTGTAGTCCCAGCTACTCGGGAGGCTAGGCAGGAGAATCACTTGAACCCAGGAGGCGGAGGTTGCAGTGAGCCAAGATCACAACACTGCACTCCAGCCTGGCGACAGAGCAACATTCTGTTTCAAAAAAAAAAAAAAAAAAGGGAAGCCAAAAGGCAGCTGTGATATTGACCGTGGACATACCTGAGGAGGGACATCAAAACAGCAAAGAAACTGACCATGTCCAAGATGCCTGAAGAAGCTCTGCCTCAGAATTCTGTGGCCTCTTCTCCATTGGCAGTGGCCACCAGAAGCTGTGGGGAGAAAAGCAGCAGCCTCCCACCCACTCTGCTGGTTGGCGTTTCCAGGGAAATCCAGACCTGTCCTGTTCATCCCTCAGCATGCTGGTCCCCTCTCTCTCTTATTGCTGCTTGTGTGTGTGTTGAATATATTTGCATGATTGTTGATGTGTGAAAGCCTCACAATAAACCGTGAATTCAAAAGCATTTAATTGGCCACTGAGTCATCCTGATACCTCCCAGCTCCTAAGTCAGAGTTAGCACAACTAGGCTGATTCGAACCTGACACAATATTGTGGAAACCCTGGTTTACAGGCAGTCAGAAGCCCTGGCAGAACAACCAGGGGCTTGGGATTGACATTGGAAGTGGGGCCAGTCTTGTGGGACCAAGCCCTCAACCTGTGGGATCTGACACTATCTCAGGTACACAGTGTCAGAATTGAACTGGATTGGAGCCATCCAGCTGCGGTCCACTGGAGAACTTGATTGCTCACTTGTGTGGGGAAAAGCGCACCCACAATTGGTCACCGAATGTGGTTTTCTGTGTTGATCATTGCTGAATGAGAGAGTAGAGAAAGCCCTTTGCATTTTTTTGTCCACAGACAATTCCTTTGATTTGTTTCCACATATCCTGTGTTGGTACTGTTATCTTCATCCACTCTTGAAATATTTGTCTTCCCAAGAGCCCATCCTCAACCCACTCATGCTTCACACTCTGTGTAATTTTAGCCACTCTTGTCGTTCTAACAATGACCTATAGGATGATGAATCTCTAATCTATATCCTTGAACGAGATGTTTCCCCAAAACTTCAGACACATATATCCAATTTCTCACTTAACATTTCCACCTGCAGCAGGGCACAGTGGCTCACGCCTGTAATCCCAACACTTTAGGAGGCCAAGGTGGGAGGATGACATGAGCTCAGGAGTTTGAGACCAGCCTGGGCAACACAGTGAGACCCCACCATCTCTACAAAAATTTTTTTTTAAAAAATCAGCTGGGCTTAGTAGCACACACCTGTAGTCCCAGCTACCCAGGAGGCCAAGGTGGGAGGATCACCTGAGTCTAGTAGGTTGACGCTGCAGTGAGCCATGATCACACCACTGCACTCCAGCCTGGGCAACAGAGTGAGATACCATCTTAAAAAACAAAAAACACATTTGGGCCGGGCATGGTGGCTCATGCCTGTAATCCCAGCACTTTGGGAGGCTGAGGTGGGAGGATCACCTGAGGTCAAGAGTTCGAGACCAGCCTGGCGAACATGGTGAAACCCCATCTCTACTGAAAATATAAAAATTAGCTGGGCATGGTGGCACACATCGGTAGTCCCAGCTACTAGGGAGGCTGAGGTGGGAGGATCCCTTGAACCTAGGAGGCAGAGATTGCAGTGAGCCGAGATCGCACCACTGCACTCTAGTCTGGGTGACAGAACAAGATCCTGTCTGAAACACACACACACAGTTTGCAATCAGATGCCCCATGGAAATCTCAGATTCAGCATGTCTAAAATAAAACATCAACTTCCATGCAAAACCTTCTCCTTCTGTAGCACCCATATCCACCCAATTAGCTAAGTTGAAAACCTGAGCATCACCATTGAATCTTTTTTTTTTTTTTTCTTTTTTTTTTTGAGAGAGAGAGTCTCACTCTGTTGCCCAGACTGGAGTACAGTGACATGATTTCAGCTCACTGCAACCTCTGCCTCCTGGGTTCAAGCGATTTTCCTGCCTCAGCCTCCTGAGTAGCTAGGACCACAGGCGTCCACCACCACGCCCGGGTATTTCTTGTATTTTTAGTAGAGATGGGGTTTCACCATATTGGTCAGGCTGGTCTCAAACTCCTGACCTTGTGATCCACCTGCCTCGGCCTCCCAAAGTGCTGGGATTACAGGCGTGAGCCATCACGCCTGGCCCTCACCTTTGAATCTTTGAACGTCTTCACCCCACTCTCTCCTTTAGATGTATTTTTAGAAATTACCTAATTCTGAGAATGTTACCTCTTTAAGATTTCTCAGAATTGATTATGCCACTCCCTGCTTAAAACTCCAATAGCAGCCAGGTACGGTGGTTCACGCCTGTAATCCCAGCACTTTGGGAGGACAAGATGAGCAGATCACCTGAGGTATTCGAGACCAGCCTGATCAACATGGTGAAACCCTGTCTCTACTAAAAACACAAAAAATTAGCTGGGCGTGGTGGCACGCACCTGTAATCCCAGCTACTTGGGAGGCTGAGGCAGGAGAATCGCTTGAACCCAGGAGGCAGAGATTGCAGTGAGCTGAGATCATACCATTGCACTCCAGCTAACAAGAGCAAGACTCCGTCTCAAAAAAAATAAAATAAAATAAAAATAAAAATACAAAATAAAAACACTCCAAGGTCTGTCCACTGCACTTGGCATAAAAGGAATATTCCAAGGCCCCATATAATCTGCCCTGTGTCTATCTCCACCCACACTCCCCACAGCTTGGCTCCTCACTTACTGGGCTCTTGCCACAGTATGTCTCTTTCTGCTCCCCAAATGCTCCAGCTCATTCATATCTCAAGGTTGTGCCATTTGAGGTTTCCTCTTCCTAGAACTGTCTCTTGCCAACTCTTTGCATAGCTAGTTCCTTCCTTATGTCTGCTCTCAACAAAAGTCATCTCTGAGAGCCCTTCACCCCATCTAATCCTACCCCTTTGCACCCCCACCCCTTGATAAGTAGACCCCTTTGGAGACATTATCTCTTATTTTCTTCATAGCTCTTATCACTGTTTGAATCATCTCATTTGGGTATTTACTTATTCTCTGTTTCCTCTGCTAAATTAAGAACTTATCATTTTGGAAATACTGTATTTGTTCAAATTGGTTTGGCCCATCTCCCCTGCTAGAATGTAAGTTTTATGAGAACAGGGATCTTGTATATATCTTATACATCCAACTCCTGTCCCCATTCTAGCTGGTCATGGGTTCCTCCCTCCCTCACCCTCCAGGCCCAGTACTACTAACATCCCAGCATGCTTTATGTCAAGCCTCTGAGCCCAAGCTAAGCCATCATATCCCCTGTGACCTGCACGTATACATCCAAATGTCCTGAAGCAACTGAAGATCCACAAAAGATGACATTCCACCATTGTGACCTGTTCCTGCCCCACCCTAACTGATCAATCGACCTATGACAATACACCCTCCCTGCCCTTGTGATAATGTACTTTCTGATATTCCCCCGCCCTTAAGAAGGTACTTTGTGATATTCCCCCGCCCTTAAGAAGGTACTTTGTGATATTCCCCCGCCCTTAAGAAGGTACTTTGTGATATTCTCCCCACCCTTAAGAAGGTACTTTGTGATATTCCCCCGCCCTTAAGAAGGTACTTTGTGATATTCTCCCCACCCTTAAGAAGGTACTTTGTGATATTCCCCCGCCCTTAAGAAGGTACTTTGTGATATTCCCCTGCCCTTAAGAAGGTACTTTGTGATATTCCCCCGCCCTTAAGAAGGTACTTTGTGATATTCCCCCGCCCTTAAGAAGGTACTTTGTGATATTCCCCTGCCCTTAAGAAGGTACTTTGTGATATTCCCCTGCCCTTAAGAAGGTACTTTGTGATATTCTCCCCGCCCTTAAGAAGGTACTTTGTGAGATCCACCCCCTGCCCACAACAAATTGCTCCTAACTCCACCGCCTATCCCAAACCTATAAGAACTAATGATAATCCCACCACCCTTTGCTGACTCCTTTTATGGACTCAGCCCGCCTGCATCAGGTGAAATAAACAGCCCTGTTGCTCACACAAAGCCTGTGTGGTGGACTGTCTTCATACAGACACACATGACACTTTATGCCTGATCTTAACTGAAATATGACAAATAAAAAGAAAGACAAAACATTCTTTCCATTCACCTTCTAAGAGGAGTCGTGCTCCCAGTTCTGAGTGGTGCTAAGTGTATCTTGACACTCAAAATGGCAGCACCATGCTCACATGGACGCCCAACATTTATTAGACACCTTCTATTTCCATTGTACCATATTGAAGGTTGTGTGAGTTACACTGGTGAATACAGGACTGTCTCTGGCCTGTAAGAATTCATACTTTATCAGGGAAGACACAAGCAACTGTAACTGTGGTAATCAAGGATCTTACATTATCTGGGGCAATTCTGATTGCAGGATTATGTGTCCTGGTTTGTGATTCAGAATGTCTTAACCTTATAACTATAAATCTGTGTGATAAATACTTACCAATGGTATGAACAAAGCTTTTTGAAAGCATAAAAGAAGCAATTAATTCTGCTGGTAGGATCAAGGGAACCCTCTCAATGAATCAGTCGTTGGAACTTGAAATAAATACAAGATTTTTCTTCCCAAATGAAGAAGATAGGAAACAGCATTCAAATCAAAGCAAAAAATATGAGCAAATGTACAGAAGTGCACAGGATTATCACATACCAGAGAGGAGAGGAGCAATAAATAAATAAATAAATAAATAAATAAATAAATAAATAAGTAACAAACCTACAAAGCTGAATGGCTACAGAATGATAGGACTTTGGTGGTAAACAGCCTTGGGTGTGATGGTGAGGAATGTTGATTTTCCCCCTCTTATTCACTGGTTCCCCAGGCCTTGTCAAACCGACTACGTGGGAATCACCTGGAAAACTAGATTAAAATACATATTCCTGGGGTCGGATCTGCTTGGGTAATCTGATTCAGACCATTCATAATGGGTCCCCGGAATCTTCCCAAGAAATTCATATGATTAGCCCATGTTGGGAACTACTACTTTAGAGAATGGAGTAAGTCATTCTTAGTCTTTACCCGCTTGCGTTACCAATATCTAAAATGGGAGCCAGGCACAGTGGCTCATGCCTGTAATCCCAGAACTTTGGGAGGCCAAAGCAGGCAGATCACTTGGGGTCAGGAGTTCAAGACCAGCCTGGCCAACATGGTAAAAACCCATGTCTACTAAAAATATGAAAATTAGCTGGGTGTGGTGATGCACACCTGTAGTCCCAGCCGCTCAAGAGGCTGAAGCAGAATGTGGGGAAAAGAAAAAGAGATCAGATTGTTACTGTGTCTGTGTAGAAAGAAGTAGACATAGGAGTCTCCATTTTGTTCTGTACTAAGAAAAATTCTTCTGCCTTGAGATGCTGTTAATCTGTAATCTTACCCCCAACCCTGTGCTCCCTGAAACATGTGCTGTGTCAGCTCAGGGTGAAATGGATTAAGGGCTGTGCAAGATGTGCTTTGTTAAACAGATGCTTGAAGTCAGCATGCTCTTTAAGAGTCATCACCACTCCCTAATCTCAAGTACCCAGGGACACAAACACTGCGGAAGGCCGCAGGGACCTCTGCCTAGGAAAGCCAGGTATTGTCCAAGGTTTCTCCCCATGTGATAGTCTGAAATATGGCCTCGTGGGAAGGGAAAGACCTGACCGTCCCCCAGCCCGACACCCGTAAATGGTCTGTGCTGAGGAGGATTAGTAAAAGAGGAAGGAACGCCTCTTTGCAGTTGAGACAAGAAGAAGGCATCTGTCTCCTGCCCATCCCTGGGCAATGGAATGTCTCGGTGTAAAACCCAATTGTACATTCCATCTACTGGGATAGGGGAAAACTGCCTTAGGGCTGGAGGTGGGACACGCGGGCAGCAGTACTGCTGTTTAAGGCATTGAGATGTTTATGTGTATGCATATCTAAAGCACAGCACTTAATTCTTTACCTTGTCTATGATGCAGAGACCTTTGTTCACGTGTTTATCTGCTGACCTTCTGTCCACTATTATCCTATGACCCTGCCACATCCCCCTCTCCGAGAAACACCCAAGAACGATCACTAAATACTAAGGGAACTCAGAGGCCGGCGGGATCCTCCGTATGCTGAACGCTGGTCCCCTGGGCCCCCGTATTTCTTTCTCTATACTTTGTCTCCGTGTCTCTTTCTTTTCCAAGTCTCTCGTTCCACCTAACGAGAAACACCCACAGGTGTGGAGGGGCAAACCACACCTTCGGCAGAAGAATCGCTTGAATCCGGGAGGCGGAGGTTGCAGTAAGCCGAGATTGCGCCACTGCACTGCAGCCTGGATGACAAAGTGAGTGAGACTCCATCTCTAAATAAATAAATAAATAAAATGAATAGGTTTGGCCTTGTAGAGTTCCTGAACGAGGCAGGAAGTGGGCTGGTTATCTCGTATCCATCAGAGTGCAGGCTCTGGGCTTAGTCCTGCTATTACTGTGCATTGCCTGAGTGCTTGGGCAGTTCATGACCACTGGGGCTCCAGCCTTCTCCCATCCTTCCCCACATGTGCCCAGTGTACATAGCTGGGCTCCTGACTCAACATCATCAGCAGCGACCCAGTCTTCCCCAAAGCTGGCAGCTGCAGGAAGAACTCTTAATTACTTGACTGGGGCCTAACGATCTGCCAAACCCTGACACTCCCTTTTCTGTGGGCTGAGTCCTGGCCATTAGTGAAGGTCTTAACCCAAAATATGGACAACCCCAGAGAAAACAGTTGTTGCAAACAGAGAGTTATGCAAACCAAGGTTTTCAGCAAGTGGATGACATTTTGGGGTTTATGTTTCAGGAGGATGAATTATTAAAAAAAAAAATAGGGGGAAATGCAGCAAAGCATTTAGAAACTGGTGTCGGCCGGGTGCGGTGGCTCACGCCTGTAATCCCAGCACTTTGGGAGGCCGAGGCGGGTGGATCACGAGGTCAGGAGATCGAGACCATCCTGGCTAACACGGTGAAACCCTGTCTCTACTAAAAAAAACATACAAAAATTAGCCGGGCGCGGTGGCGGGCACCTGTAGACCCAGCTACTCGGGAGGCTGAGGCAGGAGAATGGCGTGAACCTGGGAGGCAGAGCTTGCAGTGAGCCGAGATCCCGCCACTGCACTCTAGCCTGGACGAAAGTGCGAGACTCTGTCTCAAAAAAAAAAAAAAAAGAAAAAAGAAACTGGTGTCATAGTTTAGGGAAAAAGACAGTGAAGGAATAATTTCTCAAAGTAGTGGCAGAGAGAATGGAGAGGAAGGGACTGAGAACTTGGTCACAGATTAGAGGCAGACGGGACAAAGGCAAAGATGGTGCCAAGATATCTAGTTTTTATAAAGCAACATTTTAGCTAGATCAGCTATATTGCTTTTGCATCATTTGTTACCTATTTTTTAACCATACTTAAAATGTTCACTCATAGGGAAGTACTATTATTAACCAGTGTCGCTGTGTGTCATAGCCCATCTCTAGAAAGCACTGTAAGGAGAGCCGCATGGAAAACCTTTCTTCTGGCTTAAACAAAGTTCCTCCACCATGGATGTCAAAAGTGCTTGGAATGGTAAAGCAATCATTTAACCACCAAAAGTAACACTATTATTTTCACTTCAAAATAATCCCTTGAACTTCTATCTTGTAAAAATAAAAACCAAGAGGCCGAGTGCAGTGGCTCACGCCTATAATACCAGCACTTTGGGAGGCTGAGGCAGGTGGATCACGAAGTCCAAAGTTCAAGACCAGCCAGGCCAAGATGGTGAAACCCTGTCTCTACTAAAAATACAAAAATTAGCCAGGCGTGGTGGTGGGCGCCTGTAATCCCAGCTACTCAGGAGGCTGAGGCAGAGAATCGATTGAATCCAGGAGGCGGAGGTTGCAGTGAGCTAAGATCGCACCACTGTATTCCAGCCTGGGCAACAGAGTGAGACTTTGTCTCAAAAAAATAAACAAATAAAATAAAAAATAAAAACCATGAATACTTAGTTTATCTTTCAAGGTGCGACTCTTTTTAATTTCAGGATTGCTAACGTGCAAATAAAATCAAATAAAAAATAGTAGCAAGTCACTAATCTTTGTGTTGCCTTTTATTTTTCAGATGTGTATTTTTTAGCTTTATTTAATAACTGTATTCCTAATTTCAACAGATGTGCATTGCTTTGGTATTTGGCTTGGGAGTTTTTTTTTTTTTTTAGTAGAAATAATACAAATCACATTTTATTCTTGGAATGTTTATTTTTTCTGAGATTCTGAGAAATGTGCATAGATTTAAAAGAACAATTTAAAATTTATATTTACTTTTGGACCTTAGAAGTGTCATTCCATTTATAGAGGTTCCATCCTAAAAAAACACATGAATATCCAAATGTCCAATTGTCATATCTTGATTCCCTGAAGGAGTATAGCTGCTTCCTTTACTCTACTTAAAGTTGCTAAGTAGAACCAAAAGCAAAATCAAGCAGTAAACCTGCTGAAGTAAGATCCTTCATTGCTACTTTGCCTAATGCCTAATTATAAATTAGAATACAACAAAACCCTCAGGTTTTCTTTGCAAAGAAACTTGACTCATATGCTGAGTCCACAACCTCCAAAATGCAAACTTGGCTTCCTAATGCACCGGCCAGAATCACTGGAGAAGCCACCCCAGAGCAGTAAACTGAAGCAACTCTTTCTTTACCAGGAATTTTATTTTTCCTGGCTTTCTTCATTTAACAAAATAATAAAATGATTGCTAACCTCCAATTTTCTTCTGTTCCACAAAAACTTTCCTACCATGGAGGGAGCTTTAAAAACGTGCACTATGAGGCCGGGTGCGGTGGCTCACGCCTGTAATCCCAGCACTTTGGGAGGCCGAGGCGGGCGGATCAAGAGGTCAGGAGATCAAGACCATCCTGGCTAACACGGTGAAACCCCATCTCTACTAAAAATACAAAAAATTAGCCGGGCGAGGTGGCGGGCACCTGTAGTCCCAGCTACGCGGGAGGCTGAGGCAGGAGAATGGCGTGAACCCCGGGGGGCGGAGCCTGCAGTGAGCCGAGATCGTGACACTGCACTCCAGCCTGGGTGACAGCGAGACTCCGTCTCAAAAAAAAAAAAAAAAAACATGCACTGTGAAATTATTTTCCTTCTGGTGAGTTCATTCAGCACAGCACGTGCAAGGAGGAACAACTCCTCCTTCCAAAGAGCAGATAAATAATTGCTAATGAGTAAGAAGAAAACTCCTGGCCAGAGGAAGGAGAGTTGCCAGCTCCTGGCTCTCTTATTACGTCTCCTGCCAGTAACAATTGGTAGGTGGCCCCGTAATTTTCCACACTCAAGATTCAGAGGGGCTAACATTGTTCTGTTCTTCTTCCTTCAAATAAACCAGAGAGAAAATGAAAAAATAAATAAATTAAGGAGCAGCAGGGGTGGCTTACTTCACTGCTGCTTTAACCTCTAACAAAGGAGCAAAAACCTCCTACACCTGCATGTAAGAACACAGCTCAAGTGCAACAGGAATTTGGAATTGAAAGCCAGTTTCTGAGCAGTAAGTTTGGAATTGCCTTAAGCCAAGAAAGTCAGCACAAGCTAAGACTTGAAGGGATATCTGAGCGTTAACAGAAAAGGGTCTTGATCCACACTCTAAGAGAGGGTTCTTGGACCTTGTGTAAGAAAGAATCCAGGACAAGGTCATAAAGTGAAAGCAAGTTTATTAAGAAAGTAAGGGAATAAAAGAATGGCTACTCCATAGGCAGAGCACCCCCAAGGGCTTCCGGTTGCCTATTTTTATGTTTATTTCTTGATTATCTGCTAAAGAAGGGGTGGATTATTCATGAATTTCCCAGGAAAAGGGTGGGCAATTCCTGGAACTGAGGGTTCCCCCTTTTTTTAGATTGCCCTGACATTCCCATGGCATTTGTAAACTGTTGTTGTGCTGGTGGGTATGTCTTTTAGGATGTTAATACATTCTAATTAGTGTGTAATGACAATTAGCATATAATGAAAGTGATCAGAAGTCACTTTTGTCGCCATCTTGGCATTGGTGGGATTTGGCCAGCTTCTTTACCACATGCTATTTTATCAGCAAGGTCTTTGTTAACTGTATCTTGTGCTGACTTCCTATCTCATCCTGTGACTAAGAATGCCTTAACCTCCTGGGAATGCAGCCCAGCAGGTCTCAGCCTTATTTTACCTAGCCCCCATTCAAGATGGAGTCACTCTAGTTCAAATGCCCCTGACATGAGGACTTGACATCTCCCTGCTTGGTCTTCTCCCCACCTGGTGCTTAAGAGAAGAGATGGTAGGCATATTAACCCATCCATCACTCACACTATTCTGTACCTGCTCAAGTGACCTAAACCCAGAGCTCTGACTCTGCCTCCAGCTAAGAGGATCAGGCAAGACAGAGACCCAGGAGCTCAGTTCCAGAGCCTCAAATTCATCCTTATGTCTTTGTGATTATAACCCATGAATTGGGGATTTAAAATACGTTGGACCAGAATTTTAAAAAGTCAAATACATTGACTGCAAAAACAAACCAGCAACACCGAGAGGAACTACAGATCCTCTGAAGGAAGCAGACTGCTCCTGCAGGACCTGGGAGACACCCCAAATACTGTGAGTGTCCCAACCATAGAAGTGGGAAAGGAAGATCCACCTCTCCTGGACACACACACCCACTGGAGAAACCGAAGTTCTGTTTGAGGGAGAAGTTTTCGACTTTACCTGGTGCCGAGTCCAGTTAGAGAGCCGAGTGAAATATGGGGTAGAGGAAGCAGCAGAAAGGCCCTGGGAGCTCGCTGGGTCCCTAAGCAGCCAGTTCCTGCCTGGGACCACACATCAGGAGGGTGGCCAGAGGAGCAGGGGGTGAAACTACAGGGAGAAGGAATTCTCTAGCTGAACTTTGTAACAATTTGAACAGGGCAAGAAGCCTCTGGGCAAGAACTCGGGAGGGCACGAATCAGGCATGCAGACTTCACAGGCAGGAGAAGAACTAAAGCGTTATTCTCTCCCAGCTGGGAGGTGGATAGCCTCAGGCAAATTTTCAAGCCCATCTCACCCTCCTCCTGGAAACAGATTCTGGGCTGTTGGCCAGGGCATGGTGGGAGTGAGACCAGCCCTTCAGTTTGCATGGGAGCTGGGTGAGGTCTGTGACTGCCGGCTTTCCCCCACTTCCCTGACAACCTGCATGACTCAGCAGAGGCAGCCATAATCCTGCTAGGTACACAAGTCCAGTGACCTGGGAACCTCAACCCTATCCCCCACAGCAGCAGCAGCAAGACCCGCCCATGGAGAGTCTGAGCTCAGACACACCCAGCCCTGCCCCCACCTGGTGGTCCTAGCCTATCCACCCCGGTAGTGCAAGACAAAGGGCATATAATCTTGGGAGTTCTAGGGCCACACCCACTGCCAGTCCCTCTCCACACTACTGCAGCTGATGCTTTCTGGAAAGCGCCACCTCCTGGCAGGAGGCCAAACAGCACAAAAATAGAGCATTAAACCACCAAAGCTAAGGAACCTCACAGAGCCCATTGCACCTTCTGCCAGTTCCACCCGAAAAGGTGCTGGTAACCACAGCTGAGAGACCCATAGATGGTTCACATCACAGGACTCTGTGCAGACAAACCCCAGTACCAGCCCAGAGCTGGGAAACTCGCTGGGTGGCTAGACCCAGAAGAGAGACAACAATCACTGCAGTTCAGCTCACAGGAAGCCACATCTATAGGAAAAGGGAGACAGTACTACATCAAGAGAACACCCCATGGGACAAAAGAACCTGAACAACAGCCTTCAGCCCTAGACCTTCCCTCTGACAGAGCCTACCCAAATGAGAAAGAACCAGAAAACCAATCCTGGTAATATGACAAAACCAGGCTCTTCAATACCCCCAAAAAATCACACTTGTTCACCAGCAATGGATCCAAACCAAGAAGAAATCCCTGATTTACCTGAAAAAAGAATTCAGGAGGTTAGTTAATAAGCTAATCAGGGAGGGACCAGAGAAAGGTGAAGCCCAATGCAAAGAAATCCAAAAAACTGATACAAGAAGTGAAGGGAGAAATATTCATGGATATAGATCACTTAAAGAAAAAACAATAAAAATTCAGGAAACTTTGGACACACTTTTAGAAATCTGAAATGCTCTGGAAAGTCACAGCAATAGAATTGAACAAGTAGAAGGAAGAAATTCAGAGCTCAAAGACAAGGTCTTTGAATTAACCCAATCTGACAAAGAGAAAAGAATAAGAAAATATAAACAAAGCCTCCAAGAAGTCTGGGATTATGTTAAACAACCAAACCTAAGAAAAATTGGTGTACCTGAGGAAGAAGAGAATTCTAAAAGCCTGGAAAACATGTTTGAGGGAATAATTAAGGAAAAATTCCCTGGCCTTGTGAGAGATCTAGAGAGCCAAGTACAAGAAGCACAAAGGACACCTGGGAAATTCATTGCAAAAAGATCTTTGCCTAGCCACATTGTCATCAGGTTATCCAAAGTTAAGACAAAGGAAAGAATCTTAAAAGCCACAAGACAGAAGCACCAAGTAACCTACAAAGGAACACCTATCAGATTAACAGCAGATTTCTCAGCAGAAACCCTACAAGCTAGAAGGGATTGGGGACGTACCTTCAGCCTCCTCAAACAAAACAATTATGAGCCAAGAATTTTGTATGCAGTGAAACTAAGCATCATACATGAAGAAAAAATAGTCTTTTTCAGACAAACAAATGTTGAGAGAATTTGCCACTTCCAAGCCACCACTACAAGAACTGCTTAAAGGAGCTCTAAATCTTGAAACAAATCAAAATAGAACCTCTTTAAAACATAAATCACATAGAACCTATAAAACAAAAATACAAGTTAAAAAGCAAAAACAAAAAAGAAACCACCAAAGTACACAGGCAACAAGGAACATGATGAAAGCAATGGTACCTCACGTTTCAATACTAACGTTGAATGTAAATGGCCTAAGTGCTCCACTTAAAAGATAGAGAACCACAGAATGGATAAGAACTCACCAACCAACTATATGCTGCCTTGAAGAGACTCAACTAACACATAAGCACTCACGTAAGTTTAAAGTAAAGGGGTATAAAAAGGCATTTCGTGCAAATGAACACCAAAAGCAAGCAGGAGTAGCTATTCTTATATCAGACAAAACAAATTTTAAAGCAACATCTGCTAAAAGAGACAAAGAGGTACAAGGCCTTGTCCAGTGGGAAAATATCACAATCCTAAACATATATGCACCTAACACTGGAGGTCTCAAATTTATAAAACGATTGCTAATAGACCTAAGAGATGAGATAGACAGAAACATAATAATAGTGGGGGACTTCAATACTCCACAGACAGCACTAGACAGGTCATCAAGACATAAATTCAACAAAGAAACAGTGGACTTAAACTATATCTTGGAACAAATGGACTTAACAGATATACACAGAACATTTCATCCAACAACCACAGAACACACATTCTATTCAACAGCACATGGAACTTTCTCCAAGACAGACAATATGATAGGCCATAAAATGAGCCTCAAAAAATTTAAGAAAATCGAAATTATATCAAGCACTCTCTCAGACCACAGTGGAATATAACTGGGAATCAACTCCAAAAGGAATCTTCAAAACCATGCAAATACATGGAAATTAAATAACTGGCTCCTCAATGAGCATTGCGTCAAAAAGGAAATCAAGATGGAAATTTAAAAATTCTTTGAACTGAATGACAATAATGACACAATCTATCAAAACCTCTGGGATACAGCAAAGGCAGTGCTAAGAGGAAACTGCATAGTCATAAATGCCTACATCAAAAAGTCTGAAAGATCACAAATAGACAATCTATGGTTACATCTCAAGGAACTAGAGAAACAAGAACAAACCAAACCCAAACCCAGCAGAACAGAGGAAATAACCAAGATCAGAGCAGAACTAAATGAAATTGAAATAAAAAGACAAGACAGAAGATAAATGAAACAAACAGCTGGTTCTTTGAGAGATAAGTAAAATTGATAGACCATTAGCAAGATAACCACAAAAAGAAGAAAGAAAATCTAAATAACCTCACTAAGAAAGGAAACAGGAGATATTACAACTGACACCACTGAAATACAAAAGTTCATTCAAGGCTGCTATGAACACCCTTATGCATATAAACTAGAAAACCTAAAATAGATGAATAAACTCCTTGAAAAATACAACCCTCCTAGCTTAAATCATGAAGAATTAGATACCCTGAACAGACCAGTAACAAGCAGTGAGATTGAAATTGTAATTTAAAAATTACCAACAAAAAAAAGTCCAGGACCAGACGGAATCACAGCAGAATTCTACTAGACATTCAAAGAAGAATTGATACCAATCCTATTGACACTATTCCACAAGACAGAGAAAGAAGGAACCCTCCCTAATTCATTCTGTGAAGCCAATATCACCCTAATACCAAAACCAGAAAAGAAAACTACAGACCAATATCCTTGAAGAACATAGATGCTAAAATCCTTAACAAAATACTAGCTAATCGAATCCAGCAACATATCAAAAAGATAATCCATCATGAGCAAGTGGGTTTAATACCAGGAATGCACGGATGGTTTAACATACGCAAGTCAATAAATGTGATACACCACATAAACAGAATTAAAAACAAAAATCACATGATCATCTCAATAGATGCAGAAAAAAAAATTTGACAAAATCCAGCATCCCTTTATGGTTAAAACTCTCAGCAAAATTGGCATATAAGGGACATACCTTAATGTAATAAAAGCCATCTATGAAAAACCCACAGTCGACATAATAATGAATGGGGAAAAGTTGAAAGCATTTCCTCTGAGAATGGGAACAAGACAGGGATGTCCACTCTCACCACTCCTCTTCAACATAGTACTGGAAATCCTAGCCAGAGCAATCAGACAACAGAAAGAAATAAAGGGCATCCAAACAGGTAAAAAGGAAGTCAAACTGTCACCATTTGCTGACTGTTTACCTTGAAAAACCTAAGGATTCCTCCAGAAAGCTCCTAGAACTGATAGAAGAATTCAGCAAAGTTTCTGGAGACAAGATTAATGTATACAAATCAGTAACTTTTCTAAACAGCAACAGCGACCAAGCAGAGAATCAAATCAAGAACTCAACCCCTTTTACAATAGCTGAAAAAAAAAACAAAACAAACAAACAAACAAACAAACAAAAACCTTAGGAATATACCTAACAAAGGAGTAGAAAGACTTCTACAAGGAAAACTAAAAAACACTGCTGAAAGAAATCATAGATGGCACAAATGGAAACATATCTCATGCTCATGGATGGGTAGAATCAATATTGTTTGAAAATGACCATACTGCCAAAAGAAATCTACAAATCCAATGCAATCCCCATCAAAATACCACCATCTCTCTTCACAGAATTAGAAAAAACAATTCTAAAATTCATATGGCACCAAAAAAGAGCCCACACAGCCAAAGCAAGACTTAGCAAAAAGAACAAATCTGGAGGCATCACACTACTTGATTTCAAACCCAAACCCAGCAGAAGATAGGAAATAACCAAGATCAGAGCAGAACTCATACCATAAGGCCATAGTCACCAAAACAGCATGGTACTGGTATAAAAATAGGCACATAGACCAATGGAAAAGAAAAGAGAATCCAGAAATAAACCCAATACTTTCAGCCAACTGATCTTCAACAAAGCAAATGAAAACATAAAGTGGGGAAAGGACACCCTTTTCAACAAATGATCCTGGGATAATTGGCTAGACACATGTAGGAGAATGAAACTGGATCCTCATCTCTCACCTTATAAAAAATCAACTCAAGATGGATTAAGGACTTAAACCTAAGACCTGAAACTATAAAAAATTCTAGAAGATAACATTGGAAATGCCCTTCTAGACATTGGCTGAGGCAAGAATTTCATGACCAAGAACCCAAAAGCAAATGGAGCAAAAACAAAGATAAATAGTTGGGACCTAATTAAACTAAA
Organism: Homo sapiens; assembly: GCF_000001405.40. NCBI lineage: Eukaryota > Metazoa > Chordata > Mammalia > Primates > Hominidae > Homo > Homo sapiens. Next base: position 80,792 of record NT_187627.1, on the reverse strand, counting down.
GAGCTTTTGCACAGCAAAAGGAACAGTCAGCAGAGTAAACAGACAGAATGGGAGAAAATCTTCACAATCTACACATCTGACAGAGGATTAATATCCAGAATCTACAATGAACTCAAACAAATCAGTAAGAAAAAAACTAACAATCCCATCAAAAACTGGGCTAAGGATATGAATAGACAATTCTCAAAAGAAGATATACAAATGGCCAACAAACGTATGGAAAAATGCTCGACATTACTAATGATCAGGGAAATGCAAATCAAAACCATAATGCGATACCACCTTACTCTTGCAAGAATGGCCATAATCAAAAAATCAAAACACAGTAGATGTTTGGTATGGGTATGATGAACAGGGAACACTTCTACACTGCTGGTGGGAATGGAAACTAGTGCAGCCACTATGGAAAACAGTGTGGAGATTCCTTAAAGAACTAAAAGTAAACTACCATTTGATCCAGCAATCCCACTACTACCCAGAGGCAAATAAGTCATTATTCAAAAAAGATACTTGACATGCATGTTTATAGCAGCACAATTCACAATTGCAAAATCATGGAACCAATCCAAATGCCCATCAATCAACAAGTGTATAAAGAAACTGTGATATGTATATATACACACACACACACACACACACACACACACACACACACACACACACACATTGGAATACTACACAGGCATAAAAAGGAATGAATTAACAGCATTTGCAGTTACCTGTATGAGATTGGAGACTATTATTCTAAATGAAGTAACACAGGAATGGAAAACCAAACATCATATGTTCTCACTGATGTGTGGGAGTTAAGCTATGAGGACACAAAGGCATAAGAACGATACAATGGACTTTGGGGACTTAGGGGGAAGAGTGAGAGGGGGATGAGGGATAAAAGATTACAAATATGGTGCAGTGTATACTGCCTGGGTGATGGGTGCACCAAAATCTCACGAATCACCACTAAAGAACTTACCCATGTAACCAAATACCACCTGAACCCCAATAACTTATTGGAAAAAAAGAGTTAAAATAAATAAATAAATAAAATCAAAAGTCTAAAAAATAAATAAACCCAGAGTTCTCAGGAAATTCAGGAAGAAATGCTTCAATGGAACAAAGCTAAAATAATATATTTTCTCCAAAGGCTCTCATTTTCAGTAAAATTCTGTATATTGCTGAGTGAAGCAAATCCAGTTATATTGTTCCCAGGAAGAAAGAGGAGAAGGGTGTGAAAGAGATAAAGCATGTATACTTGAAGCCCACACAGAGTCACATTCTCAGATTTTCCATCCTTACCTTAGGGACAAACACTGGCTTCATGTCATGGGGATGGTAACTGAAGCCTTAAAAGAGTACATCACCAGCTCAGGGACAAATGACTAATACATGGCAGGGTGCAGCTTTGAACTCAGCATAGTGAAGGAAATCAAAATATTTTAACGCAAATATATTTAGTTGACATATTTTGAGATGGCTGTTACAGAGCCAGTAAACAGAAGTTGTCCTGCAAAGCTGTCTTTTGTGAGGAAGATTCACCTCTGTAGAGAATCTGCATCGGTGCACCCAGGCCCTTTCTTGTCTGGATCTAGGAAAGATAAACTGAGAGTTTGACACCTTTAAAGGCCTGAAAGAAACATTCATCATCTATTCAGTCTGAGGTCTGCTACATAACAAGACCACCTTTTCTAGCCAGGCCTCCTCTTCTCTCCCTCTTGGAGGGCTGCCAGCTATGAATTTTCACCTACATAACAAGACCAACTTTTCTAGCCAGGCCTCCTCTTCTCTCCCTCTTGGAGGGCTGCCAGCTGTGAATTTTCACCTACATAACAAGACCACCTTTGCTACAGGCCTCCTCTTCTCTCCCTCTTGTAGCCTGTCTTATCACTATAACCTGATTTACCACCGTAACCTTTTATCGGCCATGCTCTGAGCCTCTATCCTTTCTGTACTTCAGGATGGTATATAAGCTTCTGCACCCCATTAGGGACTGGAACTGGCTTTCAATTCCAAATTCCTGTTGCAGTTCAGCTTTGTCCTTGCATGCGCTCTGTGGTTCTCCCCTGTGTGCACATTAATAGATTTTTATGCCTTTTGTGAGTTGATTTTTCACCAGACCTTCAGAGGGTGAAATAGTTTTTCCTTGGCCCCAACAATGGTCAAAATCAAACCCAAGTTTTATACTTTGTCCTTTTCTTTCCTAAATACCACTCCCTGGACTGGTGCTAGCCTGGTTTCTACCAAGACTCACCTGGGAAGTGTCATAAAAATGCCTGTGTCACACACAGGCTCCAGAAAATCCAATTCAGTGTTTGGAGTAAAATCTGGGAAGCTGTGTTGCTTTTTTAAAAAAAAAAAGTAAATCAAAAAATAAAATTCTAAGGCCCCCGCCCCCAACCAACAGAATGGACCCCTCCTCTCAGCCAAGGGCATTTCAAAGTTAACCTGAAAAAACTAGTTCAGGCCACGATGGGAGTGGGGAGCTGGACATGCCTCATTATACCCTCCTCCATTTTGGAATTATTGACAGAACAGACTCTTTAAATCTGATAAGAAACATTTACAATCTATTCTCTGAAGGCTGCTACCAGGAGACTTCATCTGCACGATAAAACCTTGGTTTCTACAACCCCTTATTGTAACCAGACCTTCCTTTCTATTGATAATAACTCTTTCAACAAATTGCCAATCAGAAAATCTTTAAAGCTACATATAACCTGGAAGGTCTCCTGCTTTGAGTTGTCCCACCTTTCTGGACCAAACCAATATACATCTTACATGTATTCATTGATGTCTCATGTCTCCCAAAAATGTATAAAACCAAGCTGTACTCCGACCACCTCGGGTGCGTGTTCTCAAAATCTTCTGAGGGCTGTGTCAGAGGCCATTGGTCACTCATATTTACCTGAGAATACATCTCTTCAAATATTTTACAGAGTTTGCCACTTTTCATTGACAAAAGTCTCCTTGACATTTTCCTACAGCCAGACTTGGGCACCATTGCAGTATATACTCTTTTAAGCCATTTTTTCCCCCAGCAATTAATTAGTTGATTTCATGAAAAACTTAGCTCATCTTTCAAATCAAAGTAGAATGCATGTGTCACTCTTTGAAAATTTGTTCTTTCTACAAATGACGAAATAAGTTTTCAAAATTTTTAAATTTCCAGTGGTCTTTTAGAAATGTCTGTGAGGTGTAATTTATGGGATGTTTCCTTACACTCAGAAAATGAGGGTGCTTTTTGGAGCGAATTTGTCACCCACAATGGTCTTGCTGCAAAACCCTACTGTTTCCTGCAAGATTCAAGCATTTCCTTACTTCTTGATGGCTCAAAATGCCCGGGCTTCTGATGCTCAGGACAGAATCCCCAGCTCATACATTTTTAGATTTACTTCACTTTCAGGATTTACATATTTTAAGCATGAGGCTATGGATGTGTTTCAACCAATTTTCTAAAATACGCTTTTTCCTAAGACAATTTTTGCTTCTTGTTAAGACTCTGAGTGTTGAACATCTCTTGGGACCTGAGGTGGAGATTTTTATAACCTTCTGCTCTCCAGTTATAGGCTATTTGTGTCCCTACGTCCAAGTCTCAAGTTTATTTCTCCTTCTCATTTACTCCTTTACTATGAAGGGGTCCACAGCTAGACTAAAGTGGGGTTTAACGAACTGCAACCCAGGGGCCATTCTAGCCTGACATCTATTTTTGTTAACTAAAGTTTTATTGGAACACAATGACGTCCATTCATTTGCTTGTCTCTGACTGTTTTTACACTACAGTGGCAAAAAGGAGTAGCCAGAAGTAGACAGAGACCAGATGGCCTGCAAAACCAGAAGTATTTATTATCTGGCTCTTTTTTTTTTTTTTTTTGAGACGGAGTCTCGCTCTGTCACCCAGGCTGGAGTGCAGTGGCGCGATCTCGGCTCACTGCAACCTCTGCCTCCCAGGTTCACACCATTCTCCTGCCTCAGCCTCCTGAGTAGCTGGGACTACAGGCGCCTGCCACCACACCAGGCTAATTTTTTTCTATTTTCAGTAGAGATGGGGTTTCACCGTGTTAGCCAGGATGGTCTCGAACTCCTGACCTTGTGATCCTCCCGCCTCGGCCTCCCAAAGTGCTGGGATTACAGGCGTGAGCCACCGCACCCAGTCCTATCTGGCTCTTTAAAGGAAAAGTTGCCAACCCCTGGACTAACGGAACATTCCTAGTGAAAATATTTATAAGTTTTCTTTCAATAGGGAAACATCACATTACTTCTAGCATCACTCTAAACTGCATGTGCTGTGAGGATTTTGCAGTTTGCCAATGTTTCTTTATCTTTTATCGTTATCTTCAGGCCACAACATACAAAGAACCTCATTTTCAGATTGCACTCGTTATTAAAAAGACAATTTAGGGCCTAAAAATTAATGGACAGTCTTGTTTATAAATGCTTTTTTTTTTTTTTTTTTGAGACAGAGTCTTGCTCTGTCGCCCAGGCTGGAGTGCAGTGGTGGGATCTCAGCTCACTGCAGCCTCCACCTCTCAGGTTCAAGCGATTCTCCTGCCTCAGCCTCCTGAGTAGCTGGGATTACAGGTGCCCGCAACCACACCTGGCTAATTTTTGTATTTTAGTAGAGATGGGGTTTCACCATGTTGGCCAGGATGGTCTCAATCTCCTGACCTCGTGATCTGCCCGCCTCGGCCTCCCAAAGTGCTGGGATTACAGACGTGAGCCAAAGTGCCCTGTCAAATGGCATTCTTTAATCTACAATGAATCACCTAGTTACATGTGTAAGGGGAAGCGTCAGGGAGAACTGTCTGAATCTCTATTCATTTGCCTCAATTCTCTGCCATAATTTATTTATCATATTAACCTTAACCTTGTTAACCTTTCTCCTGTCTGCTAAAGTGAACCCCAATTTCACCTATTTGTAGCTTGTTTTGCTATATTGCTGTACACTGCTGATAAAAAAGAAAATAATTTTTTCTTTTAATTTTCCCCAAATTTTCTTGACAATTGGTGATGATACAAAGTATGTATCTAATACAATATTAACCCAGGAAAATATATTTTTAGAGACAAATCTTATTTTTTTCAATGAAAGTAAAAAGCAGTATGCTTTATTTACTAACTAGTAAGACCTTATTACTTTTCTCAAATACCACAAAACTTACTAAAGAAAAGCTTTCTGATTTGATCTTTGAATGATTGCAGAAAAGTAAACTGGCTTGGATCTGACATCACCTTGTCTTTCATTGCACTCTTTGCAGCCAAGTTACTGATATTCAACAGTACCAGTTTGCCCTCTTGTGGTGTATTGCAGTTACTGTTCTTTTCTACCACTAAGAAGTTTTGTATAGACCCGTTTAATTTTATGTAACTCATTGTACAAGACACCACTCTATCTTACATTTCATCTGTGATTAATTCATATAGAACAATAATCAATAATACATGCTGGAACTTTCAGAATGAACTTCTAAAATTACTCTAGACCATAATGAAATATGATTATCGCTGTTTGACACCCATCCTGAATTCCCAAGAACAGTAATAAATCTGCCATCCACCTTTGGTCCATAGGACTACTTTGTAGGACAAAAAGTCTAAAATTATCATATTCTTGCATATCAGATGTTATAAAGAACTTCTACCTATTCTGCTTTCCAACTCGGCGATGTGAATACATACATAAGTGTAAATATTTTTATCAAAGGACACGTGAACATTCTCCTAAGCAGGAGAATAAAAAGTTATTCTATTCAAAAGAATTGTTTCACTTTTGTAAAAGTAAAATCTACACCACAGTTTCTGGTTGCTTCCATTCAAGGAGAGCTTTGGAAACCCATTCTGACTCCTTGACTTTGTGAATTCACTGGTTTAGGGTAAAGTACAAGGCTCATGGATCCCATAGAGCAGTGGTCTCCAATCTTTTTGGCACCAGGGACCAGTTTCATGGAAGACAATTTTTCCATGGACTGGATGCGGGGATGGTTTCAAGATGATGCAAGCACATTACATTTATTGTGCACTTTATTTCTATTATGTTACATTGTAATATATAATGAAATAATTATACAACTCACCATCATGTAGAATCAGTGGGAGCCCTGAGCTTGTTTGCCTGCAACTAGACAGTCCCATCTGGGAGGTGATGGGAGACAGTGACAGATCATCAGGCATTAGATTCTCAAAAACAGCATGCAACCTAGATCCATTGCATGTGCAGTTCACAATAGGGTTTGCAATCTTATGAGAATCTAACGCTGCTGCTGATCTGACAGGAGGCAGAGCTCAGGTGGTAATGCTAACTCGCCCACCGCTCACCTCCTGCTGTGTGAATTGGCTCCTAATAGGCTACAGACAAGTACCAGTCCCTGGCCCAGTAGCTGGGGACACCTGCTGTAGCGTATATTTTGGCACTTGTGAGACCAATTACCTGTAATGTCTCCTCCACATACAGCAGGAATTAATTTCTCTTTTGTTACATATTTTCTCTTTTTTATATTTATACTTTTCCCTCTCTCCATGATACCCACTACGAGTTCAGATTCTGGAGTCCAGACAGCTTGGGCTTTTTTTTTTTTTTTTTTAATATATGCAAGTTCTACCACTTAATTTTTTTTTTTGAGATGGAGTCTCGCCCTGTTGCCTAGGCTGGAGTGCAGTAGTGCGATCTCAGCTCACTGCAAGCTCTGCCTCCCAGGTTCACGCCATTCTCCTGCCTCAGCCTCCTGAGTAGCTGGGACTACAGGCACCTGCCACCATGACCAGCTAATTTTTTTTTTTTTTTGTATTTTTAGTAGAGACAGGGTTTCGCTGTGTTAGCCAGGGTGGTCTTGATCTCCTGACCTCGTGATCCGCCTGCCTCGGCCTCCCAAAATGCTGGGATTACAGGCATGAGCCACCAAGCCCGGCCCACTTACTTTCTTACTGGGGATTTCTTGTGCAAATTGCCTTAATGGACTCACCCTTGATTCCTTGTCTCTGAGGGCGGAGGATTACCCAGGTGCCGAGGCAAGAGACTGAAGGCACAAACTGTTTCAGTATAATAAAGAAAATAGTTAGAATAAGAATAGTCATAATACAAATTAGATATAGAGATGATCATGAACAATTATCAATCATTATTATAAACATTATTAATCATTAGCTTTTAATATTACTCTTTGTTGCATTACTAATATAACCTAGGAATAACCAGTGGGTATAGGGTCAGGTGCTGAAGGGACATTGTGAGAAGTGACCTAGAAGGCAAGAGGTGAGCCTTCTGTCACGCCTGCATAAGGGCCGCTTGAGGGCTCCTTGGTCAAGCGGTAACGCCAGTGTCTGGGAAGGCACCGGTTACTTAGCAGACTGCGAGAGGGAGTCTCCTTTCCTTGGAGGAGTCAGGGAAAACTCTGCTCCAGCAGCTTCTGGTGGGAGGCTGGATATTATCCAGGCCTGCGCGCAGTCATCCGGAGGCCTAAACCCCTCCCTGTGGTGCTGTGCTTCAATGGTCACTCTCCTTGTCCACTTTCATGTTCCTCCCATACTCCTGGTTCCTCTTTGAAGTTCGTAGTAGATAGCGGTAGCAGAAATGGTGACAGTCTTAAAGTCTTTGATCTTTCTTATAAGTGCATAGAAGAAAACACTGACCTATGCTGCCTTCTCTCTGTGTGCTTTGGCTACCTAAGAAGGAAGGGCCACCTGTCCTGTGATCATGTGACTTGCTTCACCTTGTCAATCACTTAGAAGATTCACCCTCCTTACCCTGCCCCCTTGTCTTATATGCAATAAATATCAGTGTGTCCAGCCGTTCAGGGCCACTACCAGTCTATGCGTCTTAATGGTAGTGGTCCCCGGGTCCAGCTCTTTTCTCTTAATCGTTTTGTCTTGTGTCTTTATTTATTACAATCTCTCATCTCTGCACACCAGGAGAACACCCGCCAAGCTCCGTAGGGCTGGACCCTATATTTCTGTAATATGGAAATATTAATAGTGGCAAGCCCACATAGCTGCCACGAGGACTTCATACAATAATGAAGGTAAGGTGCTTAGCATGAGCCTGGGGATAAAGGAAGAGTTTAACAAATGTTACAATCAGTATTACTTTCTGATTTCTGAATATAACACTTTATTTTCGTCATATCTATCTCTCCTTTCCTTTTTTCACTGTCTACTTTTCTAGTGTACTTTTGGTCTGCTTTTATTAATTTTTTGTTTGTGTTCCCCTTTGCTCACTCCATGGCAATGAAAAAGTTAGATTTTAAAGTACGGGTTCTTAGTTCAGGACCCTGCATTCGAATGGATTTATTGCTATTTCTAACACAGAAAACTGCATTGTAGGACTGTTCCCAGATGTAACTGACTATCAGGCTGCTATTTCTCGTGGCCCAATAACGAGATGCAGATGAACTGGGGAGAAAGAGAGTTTTTATTTCTGCAGCCGTTTACAGGGAGAAGGCCTGGAAATTATCACCAGACCAACTCAAAATCACAAAGTTTTCCAGCGCTTATATACCTTGTAAGCTATATGTCTACATGTAAGTGTGCATTCATCTAAAGACACATGTGATTAACTTTTTTTCCTTTTTTTTTTTTTTTTTTTTTGAGGCAGAATCTCACTACTCTGTCACCCAGGCAGGAATGCAGTGGTGAAATCTTGGCTCACTGCAATCTCTGCCTCCCGGGTTCTAAGCGATTCTCCTGGCTCAGCCTCCTGAGTAGCTGGGATTACAGGCACCTGCCACCACACCCAGCTAATTTTTGTATTTTTAGTAGAGATGGGGTTTCACCACGTTGGCCAGGCTGTCTCGAACTCCTGACCTCAGGCAATCCACCTGCCTCAGCCTCCCAAAGTGCTGAGATTACAGGCTTGAGCCACCATGCCTGGCCATGATTAACTTCTTTTAATCTATAACTAAGGTCTGAGTCCTGAGACCTTCCCCTGGAACCTCAATAAATTTACTTGATCTAAATGGGTCCAGGTGCTGGGGTGATTACCCTTATCTTGTCTCCTGCTAAATCATGGAGGTTTGGGGAGTTCCTTCAGAACCCCAATAAGCTTCTTTGTGAAGCCTGGGGAGTTTCTTCAGACTCCCAATAAAACTTGTTTAATCCTAAATGGGTCCCGTTAAGGATTCCTTCGTTATTTTGTTATGCTTTAAGGCTCAGGAAAAGCCTAGGCAAAACTCTTGGTGGGCTTTTGTTACATTCCAGTCTTTGTATAAGGGCACTGGCTTTTAAAACTTAGCCAGTCAGTCAGTACCGAAGCAGGTGTTATGGAAGACTGCATTAGTGAGACCTGGCCTGCCACAGGACCAATACCTGGAAATAGTGGGGTATTTTTGTGCTCCTCAGGTATGCGTTTTTGGACATCCTTTTATTGGAGAGCTGAAAGAGAAGGCTACCATCTTTGGACGCCCTTTTACTGGAGAGCTGAAAGAGAAGGCTACTGAGAAGATATTTTTAAAGTATGTATATAAGTATACTTACATGATGTATGTATGAGGTTTAATGCAAAAGTTAATTGCGGTTTTGCCATTAAAGTGATGCAAAAACCTCAATTACTTTTGCACGAACCTAGTAAGTACTTACTCTGTTTTTCCAGTGGTCAGAAGAGTCTTTCATTTGGAAGTTTCTAATGCAAGCTAATTTTGTGAGAAAAAACTCTCACATCATGTATCTGCCCATTTTAGAGGAAGGATAAGCATATGGTACAACATCAGTGGATGGAACAGAAGCCGCAACTAGTTGAGGGTATTTCCTTGCCTACAGCTCCATCAAGCATTAAGAGAGACTTTCCAGGCCAGCTCCAGATGAAAAGTGCTTATTTCAGAATCTTTATTTTGGGGGTCTGTGCCATTATGTCAAGATTCTAAAACTCAAAATTGGAGCCTGAAAATTCTTCTTGGTTCTTCTTGTACAATTTATATTTTAGTTGTAACTCAGCCCAAAATCTGCTGGGGTTGTGGGGGAGATGTTTTTTCAAGCAAGTAACTCCAGATAATATTTAATAAATAGATTTTTGCCTATTCCTTCCCTGGTCGCCACGGTTGTTGTCTGTTACCTAGGAATTAAATGTTGAATGGCAAGGTAGGATCACTATAGTAACTCGAAGGGCATTGGAGCAATGAGAACGTGGGAAGATGTTAAATTTAGATCAGAGTGAGTATATGTCACATTATCAATCCTATTCCTGTAGGAGCTAATTTTCTTCAACAGATCTTCCTTATACAACACATAAAAGGCCCTTTTCTCTCCTTTGTGTCAACTGTCAAAACTGTTCAAATTAGCAAGCTTGATGTTTTTGCTGTTTTCAGAAATAATTGTTTTGTTTCTCTTTTTTCAAAATGTAACTTAGAATAACCATGTTCCTATGCTATTTAGCTCTTGCTGAATGATAAATAGTACAAATGTCTACTGTCTTTTGGAAACATACTTTCAAAGAATTCTTTTTGTATTTTTTAAATATCAGAAATACAGCATCTGACCTGCATTCTGACTTTGCTGTGAATCATTAAAGTTGGAATGTTTTTGAATTTTAGTACATTTTGTGGCATTAACTTTCCTACCCACAAACGAAGAGCCTTCAAACTACCTAGATGAGATCAAACGTCGATGACATTTATATTTTTCTAGGAGTCAGGAAGAAAAATATAATCCCACAACGTTAAATGCCTTTCAAGGAAAAAAAGTGAGCACGTGGCTGGATGTTTGACGTGAAAGACAGAAAAATCTTCTGTCTCTGTTTAGTGTTCCCAAACGTCAGGCATTCTTCTTTTTTTTTTTTTTTTTTTTTTTACTTTTTTCTCTTTCCCCTGGCTCTCTGAATTATAATTAGGGACCTGGTGAACAGATCTGACCCTCACTTGTGCTCATTTTTATTAATATATAAAGTCTAATGGAGGACTGTTCTGCTTCTTCACAAATGATTGATTCTAATTCTTTGGTGTTCCTGACACAAATCTGTGGGGTGTTGCCAATTGTCTTACAAACAGCAAACCCCCGAAGGCAAACTGCATTCCAAGTAGTGCAAACCACGCATTCCTAGTTACAAACTTGCTTCATCCATCGCCTATTGTTGTCTAAAAATAACCAAAGCTCATGACCCAGCTTTTTACTAAGACTTTCAAAGAAGTTGACCATCCTTGGATAGTGTCTCTAGGAAGAGACGGGTGAAGGGCAGAAAGACCATACTTTCTTTCCAACCAGATCCCATGATAAAGCAGGAGATTCACTAAGGAGTGGATGAGGGTAGTGTTTCCATGTTTCAATATGACAAGCAAGATACAGTTCATAACAATCTAAATATATTACTATGTCCCTCTGTTCTGTCCAAAAAGTTCAAGGAGATTTAGAGACAATTCATTGCCAAAAAAGAAACAACCATACTAGTAACTGATCCAAACACACAAAGAGAGTTCAGAGGAGTCTAGAGGCAAAGCATTGATTTTCCAACCCACTGCCTGACAGTCCTTACAGAGTCTGTCTTGGGTAGGCACTGGGGAGTCTCTTTCTTCTGCAGTCTCCCTTCTCTCCCTATCTCCTGAACGATGGAACAGAAGCTTCAACTACTTGAGGGTAATTCCTTGTCTACAGCTTCATCAGACATTAAGAGTGACTTTCTAAGCCAGCTCCAGCTGAAAAGTACCTATTTTAGAACCATCTCCTCTCCTTGGGCTCGGCTCCATCTTGCAGGTGGAGGGAGCAGTAAGATCCTTGAGGTCCTGAGGACTGTTTTTCCTAGACAGCTCAACCTTCATTGTGCTTGGATTTTCCCCCCTAAGAAGAAGCTTAGACATTTTAGAATCTTCTGATTAGAGCATTTAAGATAAACATGAATGCTTTTTCTTAAGACATTGACCACTGCTGATAGCATAACATATTTATTCATTTGTTTGTTTATTTTTGAGACAGAGTCTTGCTTGTCACCCAGACTGGAGTGCAGTGGTACAATCATGCCTTACTGCAGTCTCCAACTCCTGAGCTCAAGTGATCCTCCCACCTCAGCCTTCCAAGTAGCTGGGACTACAGGTGTGTGCCACCACACTCAGCTCATTTTTAAATTTTTTCATAGAGACAGGGTCTGCCCACGCTGGTCTCAAATTCCTAGGGCTCAAGTGATCCTTCCACCTTGGCCTCCCAAAGTGCTGGGATTACAGGCGTGAACCACCATGCCTGACCAACATATTTAACGTATTTAAAATTTCTTTCCCTTACATCTGTATTATAAAACTCCCTTCACAGAGGTATAGAAGAAAGAAAGAAATCAGAAAAAAAGATATCCACTCAAAAAATCCAAATATAAATTTATGCCTTTTTTGAACCACTAGAATTGTAGCAGATGCTGGGATACCAAAATGAATAATTCATAGCCATAATCTCAGTGTCTATGAATTCAGAATTTAACTGGAGATAGGGTTGAGGTGGCAAACAGGCACATAAAAAAATTAATGGTGTCACAGTCCTGTGAGAACTTTCATCTAGATATGAACACAGTGTTGTGTTAGCTCTGAGGAAGGCACCATGCCCTGGGAGAGCATGAGCAAGTGGGAGTCAGGCACAGGAACACAAAGGAGAGTACACATCTTGATTAATTTTCCCGGGACTTAGCCTCCCCAGAGCCAATTGCAGTGTGGACCTGTGCCATTTTACACAATGGGTTCTCATTCCACACCTGGCGCTTAACTACTGGGAAACCGACACAGTGACAGAATGTCAAAAGTGAAGAGGACTGGAAGAAAAGGTGGCATGGGTTTGAACAGAGCCATGGTGCTCAGGCCGCTGTGCAGTGCATTCATTTTCTAGGGATGCCATAGCAAAGTGTCACAGGGGGGTTTAAGTAACACAATTTTATTGCCTTATAGTTCTGGAGACTAGAAGTCTAAGATAAGCCTTCAGCATGATTGGTTCCTTTGGAGGCCCCTCTCTCCTTGGCTTGTAGATGGTTGTTGCAGGGGCAAAAAAGGTATAATACCTCTTCCTCACCCATCACAAGGGTCACAGCCAACACTCCTAAACAAAAGATAGGTTAGCAAGAGAAAAGTATAACACATGTATTTAATCAGTGTTTCATGTGACATGGAAGTTTTCAGAAATGAAGACCCAGGCTGGGTGTGGTGGCTCACGCCTGTAATCCCAGCACTTTGGGAGGCTGAGGTGGGCAGATCACTTGAGGTCAGGAGTTTGAGACCAGCCTGACCAACATGGTGAAGCCCCATCTCTACTAAAAATACGAAAATGACCCATGTGTGATGGCGGGCACCTGTAATCTCAGCTACTTGGGAGGCTGAGGCAAGAGAATTGCTTGAATCTGGGAGGCAGAGGTTGCAGTGAGCCAAGATCACGCTACTGCACTCCAGCCTAGGCAACAGAGAGAGACTCCATCTCAGAAAGAAAAAAGAAGAAAGAAAAAAAGAATGAAGGCCCAGAGAACTTCTGTATAACCCTATGTATTTTTATGCTTAGGTTCAATGAAGAATAGAAATGTGATTGGACAAATATGGTATGCTCTAATGGTAATTAACTGAGGAGGCAACTTAGCGAGGCCTGTTTGTTCAAATTCTTTTTGGCCTCTCTGTGTAGCATTCCTTTCTCCGGGTACAGGTCAGGACACCTGTCACATGAAAGCCTTCAAGGGAAAAGTGAGAGGGTCAGAGAGTGACATTTTTAGGTTTTGCAGCTGCCTTTGGGGAGAGGAGTTCTAGTTTCTGTGACCTGCCTTGGAGGGAAAAGGAGAGAGAGAGAAAGGAAGGTAAGAGGTCAGAGAGACCTTGCTTCTGAGCCCTCCCTATCTCTTTCAGTTCAAAGTACTCAACACGCCAAGGGGCCATACCTTGCAGTATTGTGTCCTGAGCCCCAACACTGTTGTCTTGTAATGTCTTCACATGGTATTTCCTTTGTGTATGTCTGTGTCCTAATCTGTTCTAATGAGGACCGCAGTCATATTGGATTAGGGTCCAACCCTATGACCTCATTTTACCTTAATCCTCTCTTTACAAGTCCTGTCACCAAAAACAGTCACATACTGAGGTACTAAGGGTTAAAATTTCAACATATAAATTGAGAGAAGGGGGACACAATTCAGCCCAAAACATAGGGTCTTAAAACATTGGGGAAAGTATGGTAAGGAAGTTCCAGCTATAAATTGCTCCTTTGGGAGACGGAGAGAGAGAGAGAGAGAGAGAAAATTCCTGGTTTTCCTGGAGTTTTGAAGAAGGACTAAGATTAGGTGGGGATGACCAACAGGTTTTAACTTAAGTGCTATCTGCCATAGATTGGTTGGAGCAGCCTGGAGCTCTGCATTAGGGAGTCAGGAGGAGAAAACAGAACAATTTGGTTGTCATCCTATAGGATGACACTTTCCTCCATGTCCATTGGGAAAAATAAACTTAGGAAATGAACAAAATCAACAAATGCTATGACATTCTGCCATACATATAGCGTGGCAATCAAAACTTCCACTATTTATTATTCTACCACCATTTTTGTAATCATTACCAGTTATTGATTGCCCACTAGTTCAGTCCAGCAGAGACGTTAAGGGCATGGGCCCTAGAGCTAGATAACCTTGCATTTGGGTTCCAGCTCTACTACTTTCAATGTGACCTTGAGCAACTCAACTTCTTTGATCCTCATTTTCTCATTGAAAAAAAGGAAATATTTTGGCTAGGCGTGGTGCCTTATGCATGTAATCCCAGCATTTTGAGAGGCCGAGGTGGGCAGATCACGAGGTCAGGAGTTCGAGACCAGCCTGGCCAACATAGTGAAACCCCGTCTCTACTAAAAGTACAAAAAATTAGCCAGGCGCGGTGTCAGGCTCCTGTAATCCCAGCTACTCGGGAGGCTGAGGTAGGAGAATCGCTTGAACATGGGAGGCGGAGGTTGCAGTGAGCTGAGATTGCACCATTGCAGCCTGGGAAACAGTGTGAGACTCCATCTCAAAAAAAAAAAAGTTGTTATTTTATTTAAAATTACTATTCTCAGAGGTATGACTGAGCAGTTGCTCAAGTGATGTTAATCTTCTGATAGAATTCTAGAATATGTCTCTTCCTTCCCCATGTCCAAACATGATTGAAAATAAATTTTTGTATCCAAAAATAGTTGGAAATAATGACTGTGCCTCCCTCAGATTGCTCTAGTGAGAATTATATGAGATAATAAATGTAAAAATTATTATCATTTCTATTAATATTTTCCAAGGACTATACATAGTGGGTGTTTTATGATTGTTATCTATTTAATTTTCTATAACAATCCTATGAAGGTTTTTGTTTTTGTAGACGGGGGTCTTGTTATGTTTGTTACCCAGGCTGGTCTCAAACTCCTGGCCTCAAGTAATCCTCCCGCCTTGGCCTCCCAAAGTGCTGGGATTATAGACATGAGCCACTGCACCCAGCTGAGGCATATATCATTAGCCCCAGCATCCTTCTATTCTACCTACCCTTGCTATCACTGAGGATGATTTCCACAAAGACATTCATTAAGAGCTTTACACTCTGAAACTGATAGAAAGGGCAGCTTCACAATAATGTCCATCCTCTCTTCTTTGGAGGGTGCATTTTACCCTGTGTATAGCTGCTCTCCAGCACAGTTTCTATGACAACCTCTCCCTGGGATATCTGACTGCTCTCCCCAGACATCCCTAGTACTCACGGTTTTTCTTGTTAATCGAAAAAAAAAATTACATGCAATTATAAGTAAAGGGCTACCTTTTGTTAATGGGGAATCTCTAAAAGAGCCATGATGCTACAACCATCAAGACAGTAAATTATTTCAAACTGTTTTATTAAAATGTTGCAAAGCCCCATATATGCTCATGCCCTCCAACACAATAATTGGTGGCTTGCGCAATTGAATCTCCGTTATTAGGCAGCTATAACTGATACAATGTAAAGCAGAGGTACAGTCATTTTGATGTTGGGGACTTCTTAAAATTTTCTTTTTGATGTTTCCTTTGATTTCATTGTGTGTTGTAATTCACTTTACAATACTACGGTATGTAAACACTGGGAACTCTGTGTGCAGCAATTAACTCTAATTTGTACCCTAGGGATCGATTAGCACATGAAGTAACCTAATAGAATTAACACCCTAAGAATTGGCCAAGTGGGGCCGGGCGCGTGGCCTGTAATCCCAGCACTTTGGGAGGTTGAGGTGGGCAGATTACCTGAGGTCAGGAGTTTGAGAGCAGCCTGGGAAACATGGTGAAACCCCATCTCTACTAAAAATACAAAAAGTAGCCGGGCGTGGTGGCAGGTGCCTGTAATCTCAGCTACTCGGGAGGCTGAGGCTCACTTGAACCCAAGAGGCGAAGGTTGCAGTGAGCCGAGATCGGGTCACTGCGCTCCAGCCTGGATGACAAGAGCAAAACTCCATCACAAAAAAAAAAAAAAAAAAAAGAATTGGCCAGGTGGCATTAAAAAGTATTTGTATGAAGTCAACATACAGAAGGTTTATTATTTAGCATGTTAGAATTTTTCATTGGTGAAATTAGTGGGGTTTAAGTTGTGTGTGATTGTTGGAAGTTAGACATCTCCATATTTGCAGGAGTTACATATAAATAAATACCTGTCTGGGCCAGTTGTTCATACCAAAGGGCAGCTTCTAGATTGAAGGCCCCAGTGGCCGTGTGCTCCTTCTCTTAGCAGACAATCCTGTCATCAGATCTCACCAAAAGGGCTGCCCTTTCATCGATCAGAACCTATCTGCCTCCATCATGCAGAAATCCTTTCATGAAGGTGATGTTCAAGGGTTGAAAGTGAAAATATTCCAAGTCACCACAGGCTGTAAAATTGTGTTGTGCCTGCTTACAAGCAAATATTTGTTTGCTTAGAACAATATGGTCTGAAATGGCATTTGGTATATTAACATTAACATACCCCCAGCTGACAGATGAGATGAACTCTCTGTGGCTGAGACCCTCAAGAGAAAATTAAGCGGCCATAACAGAGAAAAGGGTTTGGTCATGTACCTGTACATTGTTAACTACCGATAGATCCAGGAGACAGATAAGGGAATTTGCCCAGGATCTTGCCTGGGCATGCCTGCAATGGACTGGGTGGACTGGGGGCTCACGTGAGCACTGGGGGAATGGGGTGGAGCCACCAGGAATTCTGCCTAATCAGGGGAAAGAGTCTGGCTTCTTCAGCTCGTGTGTGGTGGCCTGGTATTCAGTCTGTGAGGTGGGAGCCTATTGGCAGGACCCCCTCTTTTTGCTGAGAGCTTTCTTTTAATAAATTCCGCTCTCCTCACCTTTCAATGTGTCCGTGGACCTGATTTTTCCTGGTTGTGAGACAAGAACTCGGATTTTAGCCGAGAAAAGGAGCAAAAAATCCTGCATTACTACTAAAAGGCTTGTTAACTGCTATAAAGTTTTCTTTCTGCAGTTAGACTGAAACCTGTTCTAGGAAAACATTGCCAGACTCATTTGGGTGGACCCCCACCTTAGGGATCCTGCCAGCAGCACCCATTTTACAAGAGACCTGCCTTACAAACATTGTTTCCTGATAAGCAGCTACAGACCCTAATCCGGTCCCAGCCAGCTTTCAGAGACTGTGCACAAATGTCTTTGTGCCCTATAATTCACTTTTTGAGGTAAAAAGTCAAATTCCACCTCACTTTAATGATAAAACCCCACCCCAAAGTGAACATGGAATGTATGTTACATACATGTTAACTCACTGGACATGAGCTTGACTTTTCCCATAAATATTAATAGCTATTTCCCAAGCCTGATGAATAAGCATGTAAGACAGACCCTGGAAGACCTGAATTCCACTGTTTCCTTCCCTTCTGCATGCTTTTGGTTTCCTTGAAAGCACATTTCCCTAATCTGCTAATTGTTACTCAGAAAATAAAGTTGTTTCCTTTTTCCTTCTTCCGTAGATCTCATGGTCATATGTTAATAGCTACAACTGCCCGGTGGTAAGCTAGTGCATAGGAAATTCACCCCCTCTAACTAGTAGAGAGTTCCAATGAAGCCCAAAGTCATTTGACATTCATAGAACTCTTGGTTCAAATTCTCATACCCTCTTCTTCAACACAGACCTCATAATGATCCGTTATATCTCAGTTTCCTTCTGCCACACTAGCATTTGTTTTTCTGATCATGTTCATTGATCTTTACACAAGTGCAGTCTACTGGTCAGAATATCAGCTGCAGGTGACTTAGAAGTGAAGTTTCCATAACCACTATTCTGACACTGAGTCACAAATTCTCATGTCACTTTGAGACTCATATTTTTTCCTTTTAAATAGCCTTTTTTTTTTTTTTTTTTGAGATGGAGTTTCGCTCTATTGCCCAGACTGGAGTGCAGTCGTGTGACCTTCGCTCAGTGCAACCTCCACCTCCTGGGTTCAAGTGATTCCCCTGCATCAGCCTCCCGAGTAGCTGGGATTACAGGTGCACACCACCATGCCCGGCTAATTTTTTGTATTTTTAGTAGAGACGAGGTTTCACCGTGTTAGCCAGGATGGTCTCGATCTCCTGACCTCGTGATCCACCCGCCTCAGCCTCCCAAAGTGCTGGGATTACAGGCGTGAGCCACTGCAGCTGGCCTAGACTTTTATTTTCAGAGCACTTTAAGTTTCACAGAAAAACTGGGCGTAATGTCCAAAGAGGTCCCATAACTGCCACATGCACCTCCCCCACCTGCCAACACACACACACCCACACACACACAAGCCTTCCCCGCAATCAACATCCTGCCCCACAGTGGTACATTTGTTAAAACTGATGAACTACATTAACAAATCACCATCACTGTCAAAAGATCAAATTACCCCAAATCTAGTTTAAAAATTTAACTGGCTTCTATTTGAGATTCTAGAATCAGGCAATACCACATTCTATAAAACAGAATGAGTGTTCTGATAAGCTGAGCAGAGGAGATTGGCTTTATAGACAGGAAAATGTTGAAGAAATCAGAAACAGAGAACAAAAAGTGTATTGGTGGTTTCAAAGTTACTTTCTTTGTAAGGTTGAAACAGAGGGCACTCCCTTATTCATTGACTCAGATTGCCTGGAATCTCCTGGGCTGTTTTTATTTTTTTAAACTGGCCCGTTTTAAGGTTCCGTTTGATAATGTGGAACATAAGTGACTCCATCCTAGTTTGGTCTGGTCTGCTGGAGCCTCATGTGGAACGCTAGCTCAAAACAATGGCCTCCCATAAATTGTGTTTATCACTCAAAGTCTATAGTTTACATTAGGATTCACTCTGGGTGTTATATATTGTATGGGTTTTGACAAGTATATGATGACATGTATCCACCATGATAATATCATACAGAATAGTTTCACTGCCCTAAAAATCCTATGTGCTCTGCCTATTCATCCCTTCCTTTCCTCCAGCTCCAGCAAGCTCCAATCTTTTTACCATACCCATACTTTTGGCTTGGAATTGTACAGTGTGTGCCTTTTCAGATTAGCTTATTTCACTATTTCACTTAGTAGTTTTCATTTCAGTTTCCTCCATGTCTTTTCATAGCTCTGCAGCCTCCACCTCCCAGGGTCAAGGAATCCTCCCACCTTAGCCTTTGAAGTAGCTGGGACCACAGGTGCACACCACCATGCCTGGTTAATTTTTGCATTTTTTGTAGAGACAGGGTTTCACCACGTTGCCTAGACTGGTCTCAACATTAAGTGATCCTCTTCCTTAAGCTCCCAAAGTGCTAGGATTACAGGTATGAGCCACTGTGCCCAGCCAGCTCATTTCTTTTTGATGTTGAATAGTATTCCATTGTCTGGATGTGCCACAGTTTGTTTATCCATTCACCCAGCCGAAAGACATTTTGGTTGCTTCCAAGTCTTGGCAATTATGAATAAAGCTGCTAAAAACATCTGTGCAGGTTTTTGTGTGGACAGCAGTTTTCAACTCATTTGGGTAAACATCAAGGAATATGATTGTTGGATCATACGGTAAGAGTATATATAGCCTTGTGAGAAACTGCCAACCTGCCTTCCAAAGTTACTGTGCCATTCTGCGTTCCCACCAGCAATGAATGAGAGTTCTTGTTGCTCCTCATTTCCACAAGCATTTGGTGCTGTCACTGTTCTGGATTTTGGTCATTCTAGCAGGCATCTAGTGATTAGGCATCTAGAGGACAGGCATCACTGTTACTTTGATTTCAGTTCCCTAATGACATATGAACTAGAGCATCTCTTCATATGCTTATTTGCCATCTGTGTAACTTCTTTGGTGAGGTCTCTGTTCAAGTCTTTTGCCTCCTTTTTAATTGGGATGCTTTTTAATTATTGAGTGTTAAAAGGTTTTCGTATATTTTGCATAGCAGACCTTTGTCAGATCTGTCTTTTGCCAAGATTTTTTTCTTAATCCGTGATTTGTCTTCTCATTCTTTTGACTAGTCTTTTAATGTAATAAAAACATGCCTAGTTGTTTGTGCATTTGACTTACTCATGTATTTGCTCTTTCATTCATTCAATATATATTTATTGAGCACCTGCTAACTGCCAGGCCTTGTGCCAGGCAGAAAATAGAGATATAACCAAAATAGGCATGGGGCTTGCATTTGCCTCTAAATCACACCACTCATATTTTAAATCCTCAAAGTTATATTGACATCAATTGTGATTTATCCTCTGAAATATTCTGGAGTCTATCCTCTCCTCTTTTTTTCCTAGACTACCCTGGCTACTCTCCTCACCATCATAGATGATTGCAACAAGCTCATCCGGTTCTCCCCTTTCCAATTCCTTCTCTATGCAGGTGGCAGAGTTATCCTTCCAAAATTTAGATAAAATCAGGTCATAATTCTGGTTAAAACATGTGTATGACTAGCAGGTATCAGTTTTACCCTATAACACTAGAGTGCAAGGAAGTTCTCTTCCCTTAAATTCTCTGCAGTTGTTAAATTATATTCAACCCTCTTCCACTCAGCCAGTGAGAAATTCAATTTCAGTCTTTTTATTGTGCTCCTTCCTTTTCTATCAAAGATCTTTTGAAATTACAGGGCTCTCATCCAGAATATTCACAAATAGGCCCTCTGGTCTTTGCCTACAATGCTGTCTACCGTTCTTCACCTCTACCATATCTACAAGGTGCTATGAAGATAGGTAATGCCAGCCTTATTTCTTTAAAATATTTGGTTTCTGCCCAGCAGCACAAAAGACCCTGAGACAAGAAAAACAGAAGTTAGGTAACTTCTTTGGTGAGGGAAAGTAAAAATATATAAAACAAGAAAAATAAAAGCACTAATTAGTATTTCAAATTATCCTGCCTTGTGGAATGAGTCCAACCTCCTTAGCATGGCAACAAGACATATCTACACTTCCCAATTTCACCTTCATCCCATGGTGTTGTGGAGCCAGTTTTTATCAGCTCATGAGAGTGGAGTGTTAAATTTTCAGAAATTTTGCAGCCAATTGTTAAACGTGGCTATTATCAACAATTAAATTATATAGCCCTCTCTTCCTCCCTCCCTTTCATCTCCCTAGAGAGGTCTCCCATTACTGTCTGAGATTCCAAAGGGCTATGCACTTCCTTGCATTACAACAAATCTGACATTGTTTCTAATTATTGCTTTTACTAAAATATCCTGTAGACTATGAGCTTGTGGATTACACTTGTCATTCATATTTGTTTCCCTTGCTAGCAGAGGGCCTGGCGCGTGGTAGGAATTCAATAACTGTTCTGTGAATGAGTGAATGACTCTTGCAGGTTAAAACCTTGTTCCTTCCTGATATCTTTTTTTTTTTTTTTTTTTTTTGAGACGGAGTCTCGCTCTGTCGCCCAGGCTGGAGTGCAGTGGCGCGATCTCCGCTCACTGCAAGCTCCGCCTCCCGGGTTCACGCCATTCTCCTGCCTCAGCCTCCTGAGCAGCTGGGACTACAGGCGCCCACCACCACGCCCGGCTAATTTTTTGTATTTTTAGTAGAAACGGGGTTTCACCGTGTTAGCCAGGATGGCCTCGGTCTCCTGACCTCGTGATCCGCCCGCCTCGGCCTCCCAAAGTGCTGGGATTACAGGCGTGAGCCACCGCGCCCGGCCCTTTCCTGATATCTTGAGATCATCTCTCTACCCAGCAGGACTCAGTTTCCCAAGCCTTATATTCCTAAAAGCCTGCATTCTTCCATTCTTTAATCAATTACCACATAGGAAAAGCTTTGTGTGCCTCCCAAAGAGACACAACTTTCATTCTCCAAGGCCCTTCTTCCAGGGGGGGAGCTTAAAATGAAGTCAAATACAAGAAGTTAAGAAACAAAGACTCTTTACAAATTCCCTCAGGTACAGAAATCTAATTTAAAGTCTCAGCATCTATGTATAATATCCTGTGGTACTTGAGCCTGAAATGGAATGTTCATGTGGGCTTGTTGGTAAACCAGTGCAAGATGCTCTTCAGCCCAGCTGACATTCTAGAAGCAGAGGATGGATGTGAGAATGGTTGATGTGTATCATTGTTAGTGGGCTGACAGATAGACAAAGTGGCCAGCAGAGTTGCTCATTGCATAGATACACCTTCTATGTTTATTATTTATTTATTATTTTTGAGAGACAGTTTTGCTCTTGTTGCCCAGGCTGGACTGCAATGGTGTGATCTTGGCTCACTGCAACCTCCACTTCCCAGGTTCAAGCGATTCTCCTGCCTTAGTCTCCCAAGTAGGTGGGATTAAAGCCATGCACCACCATGCCTGGCTAACTTTTTGGATTTTAGTAGAGACAGGCTTTCACCATGTTGGTCAGGCTGTTCTCAAACTCCTGACCTCAGGTGATCCACCTGCCTCGGCCTCCCAAAGTGCTGGGATTACAGGTATGAGTCACCATGCCTGGCCAATATACCTTTTAGAAACAACCTTTATTTGTTTATTTATTTATTTATTTGAGGTGAAGTCTCACTCTGTCGCCAGGCTGGAGTGCAGTGGTGCGATCGTGACTCACTGCAACCTCCGCCTCCTGGGTTCAAGCAATTCTCCTGCCTCAGCCTCCTAAGTAGCTAGGATTACAGGTGCCCGCCACCACGCCTGGTTAATTTTTTTATTTTTAGTAGAGACGGGGTTTCACCATGTTAGCCAGGATGGTCTCGATCTCTTGACCTGATGATCTGCCCGCCTCGGCCTTCCAAAGTGCTGGGATTAGAGGCGTGAGCCACCACGCCACACCATAAACATCCTTTTCTATCTTCCCAAGCATACTGGAAGGTTTATGACAGAAATGTCCCAAAGACTGGAGAAAAACAAAGATTAAAAACCATTGCTTTTGATTTTAGACAATGCAACCCCAAGTACAGAACTGCTTGACCTAATTTCTAATCCCTCAGGCAGTTTTGGTGAAATAGTCATTGCTTTGCCCTAGTCTTCCCAGAACAAGAACCAAACGTCCCTGAGGACACCAAATGACACCACCACCCCACCGCCAAGCTGGCACCAGCAAAGACGTAGGCTATTTGCAGAGAGCATGCCGCCTCTGCTGTGAGTGGGCTGTAAACTACCAGGGAGATGCGTGCTGCCTGCCTGGAGACAGGGTTGCTAGGTGCCTCTGAAGTAGTGAGACCGAGAGGTGTACATTTTTCCCCCACACTTCTTATTTTACACAGTGACAGTTGTAGCCTGGAAACAGAACTGAAGAATAGTGCCTGTAGTGTAGGGTATGATGGCCAGCCAAGTGCCCTATGGGGCAGAAGGAGTGGGGTTGAAGCTTTTATCAGGAACAGGAGAAAAAAGTAATGTGATTTGGTTTCACCATAATTACTTAAGCAGGCTGCGTGAGAACTAATTATGAGTTAATCTGGCTCCAGAGAAACCCCACCTCTTCCCTTTTCTAGAATGGTACTAAAATATCAACATTGCATCACCAGAAATCATTCCCATTGGTGGCCTTTCTTAAGAAAAGCAGCATGCTCTTTCCCTCGGAAAGCCACTGGAATCTGTACACACCCAGGAATTTACATCTTCCCAAGACAAATAAAATACCTCTGACACTCAACTCAGAGTGCTTGCCCATGATTATATCATGGAGAGAGTGTCGTTTTTAAATCTGGGGAGTAAGGAATGCAGAGAAGGAAATGAAGAATAAGTTAAGAGCTTTCTGCCATTGTTAGACTCAGGAGGGGTTCTGAATTTCAGAACCAGGCTGCTCATTGATGATATCTTGACTCTCCCAGGTTCTCACCAGGATCCAATGGCCCTAAGGAGACAAGTACATTTGCTTGGAAAACTGGTCACCTAATTCCCAAAAGGACAGAGCTAACATTATATGTCTCAGCATCCAGTCCATCCTAGATGGATTTCGATTCTATCTAGGTTAGTAGTCCACATTACAGCTCTAGATGAAAATTCAATAATGCTGCTAGAATATGCTTGTAGAATAAGCTTATCTGTAATATGCAGACCTTATGTGAGTTCTGAGAATGAAAGGAGTTGGTATACTACAAGTGTAGAAAGAGCATGGATTCAAATGCTGGGTTCAACCTGGCTTCAAATCCTGACTGATGCTTTCTAGCTGTATGGAATTTACTGGCCTTCTCTGAGTCTTAGATTCAACTGGGAAAGGCAGTAAAAATGTCATTCCCCTTGAAGGATCTATGTAAGAATGAGAAATAATACATGAAGTGCTTTCACAGCACTTGAGACAGAGGATGTACACTATAAATGGTAACACATGCGATAGTCATGTCTCTCGCTATGAGAGTGTTGGGGCTCAGAAAGCGATACCCCAAAGACTGGTGCTTTGAAATGTTGAGAGGACTTAGAAGCTGCCTCAGAATCAAGGTCCTTCTAACCTTGACTTGTTCCTCCACCTCAAGCACAGGGAGTGATTCTTTCTGGAATGTCCTTATCTGACCAAGAAAATTTCTTTCCAAAAGAATTGTAATTGTCTTAAACCCCTTTTCTAGGGAATCTCATCAAACAACCAGGGAGGATCAACCACCAGAGAAAAGAAGAGACTGGGAGTCATCACCATGTCCCCAACAGAATTTTCATCTATCCTTCTGAGGACAGCTCCAAGTGATTACCTAGAGGACTTTGCTTCATAATAAGTCAACCTTCATTCCTGTGCAGCCCCACCTCTCACCTTCCCAAAATGTCTGCCTCCCATCTTCTGGGTCCATTCATTCTCTCAAATGATTTGCTGCCCCTCAAAAGAATTTTCCACGTTCCTCATCTCTCCCCTCCCCTGGGAAAAAGCATATATAAGCTTCTATACCACCCTGGGTTATTGGGTAATCATTCTCCAGCAATTCTCCCATCCTGTGCACATCAAATAAATTCTGTATGCGTTTTCTTTTATTAATGTGCTTTTTGTCTGTTGATTTTCAGTGAGTCTTTAGAGGGCAAAGGGGAAATTTTCTCCCTGCAAGAGTCTTATTATCCGAGTGTCTCTGCAAGCAGCACGTGGGGGTTACAAAGACAGACAATGCCTGACTTTTGTCTTCTGAACCACCACGGTTTAGTTAGATGGAGGCGGGAAGGAAGGAGGTAGGGAGAGTGGGACTACCTGAAGCAAGTAGCAACAAAACGACACTATATAATTAGATAGAAAATTGTGTGTTACAAATTCTGGGTGGGGTAGGAATTCAGGGAAAAGAAAGAACAATGAGGGTGCAGCAATAGCTTCAACCACTGAACAGAAAAACAAACATAAGCGTGATTTGCCAACTGTCAAGATTTACACAGAAGTCATACAGTAGGTCCAGCAAAAACAGAAGAGCTGTACACCAAGGCTCATTTTTAGCACCCAAAGGGCATGCAAGCAAAAGCAGCTAGCTCTGGTTACTTTTTCCCCAAAGAAACATTCTCGAAGACTGGTGGGCTTTGAAGGTTCTAAGCATGGGCCTTGACTGGGTCCACCCGTGGCGTTTAAGAGATGAGCCGCCATCTTTATTTTGCAAGAAAAGTCAGTTTACAGTTAGAAAACAAGGAGCAGAAATAAATCATACCATTCCAGAAAAGGTACAAGCTGAAATGTAAGTTTCAAAATGTAGCCCCTTGTAAGGTTAGAATGGCTTACTCTTCCTATGACTCTGCTTATCCCCCTCGTCAGATATTCCCTTAAATATAATGGGCTTATGCCCAATCCCGTGAACATGGAGGTACAATCAATGGCACTTTTATAGCTAATCAGAATCTTTATGCTCAGGAAAATGTACAACTGTAGTCATTATTGATGACCACCCCTACAGTGGGAGAAGAGAAAAGAAAACACAGTAGCAATGATTATGTATTTAAGTCACACTAATACTTTATATTTTGTGCAGATTTGCCTAAATACCATAAATACTTCAATGTAAGATGACATTTCCCCTGAACATTTTTTCATACAAATAAAATGAATTCCCTTATATTGGAGTCTTTATAAAATCTATCCAGTTATAGGAGTCCTATTCAATTATTTTGAACAGCTAATTATATATGTATGAATATAAAGTGTAGTTTTTCCCATTTTTTTCTTAGAGATACAAGAATTCACCTTATATTTTAATCTGTACAAAATCTTTCCTGTTATGAGAGGCCTATCCAATTATTTTGAAAAGCTCATTGTGAGAAGACACGATGTTCTGATTCAGTCTCAATCAGTGCAAGTTTAAAATGCTTATAGGGATCAGCTGATGGCGTTGGTAAAAAAAGAAGACAAAAATATTTTACACGGATTTGTAATGATTCCTGGAGGTATGAATTCTAAATTATAACAGTTGGGTAACACTGTAAATGTTCCATTTAAAGGACAACTTAAAAAACAGTAGACTAAGTGATTATATTGGAAAGATTATAAATATAGATTCACATATGAAATAAACCAACGCTGGAGTAAAGATGGCTAAATGAACATATTCATTTGTGTTTTGAACCCCCACTAAAACATGATAAAGAGTTTTTTTTTTCCAGAACATAAAATTATAGGGACCAAAAATGAGGGAAGAGACAACAGCATCAAAACTTGGAAGTTGGGGCCAGGTGTGGTGGCTCATGCCTATAATCTGAGCACTTTGGGAGGCTGGGGCGGGATTGCTTGAGCTCAGGAGTTCGAGACCAGTCTGGGCAACGTAGTGAGACCCTTGTCTCTACAAAAGATAAAAGCAAAAATAAATTAGTCAGGCATGGTGGCTCACACCTGTAGTCCCAGCCACTCAGGAGGCTGAAGCAGGATGATTGCTTGAGCTTGAGAGTTCAAGGTTGCAGTGAGTGTGATCGTGCCACTGCACTCCAGCCCATGTGACGGAAAAAAGAAAAAGAAGGCCGGGCGCGGTAGCTCACGCCTGAATCCCAGCACTTTGGGAGGCTGAGGCGGCTGGATCACGAGGCCAAAAGATCAAGACCATCGTGGCCAACATGGTGAAACCCCATCTCTAAAAATACAAAAATTAGCTGGGCGTGGTGGTGCGCACTTGTAGTCCCAGCTACTCAAGAGGCTGAGGCAGGAGAATCACTTGAACCTGGGAGGCAGAGGTTGCAGTGAGCTGAGATCGCACCACTGCACTCCAGCCTGGTGACAGGGCAAGACTCCATCTCAAAAAAAAAAAGAAAAAAGGAAGTTGGAAAGGAAATAAATGAAAGAAAACTGATGTAGCATACAGAAAAAGTGCTGGCTCCCAAGATGGTAGGAGAAAAGCTGAGAAGCCATTGATTGCAACACAAGTCTTGGGAACTGGTAGTGCTAGGTGGCTCTGAAAATAAAATTGAAAAGAGCAAAAACAAACAATTAGAGCCTCAAGTCTCCTATCTACTTTCAAGAAAAGCCTGGAAATTTATTTTTTGGGCAAAGCTAACACAGAGGGTGCTGGGAGAAGTGAGAACTGCAATACTGAACAGAAAATTAGGATTAGGTAGATGTTGACATATTAAAAACTAAAATTCATTCATGCTAGCAATCAGGCCTAAATCTTCCAGAAAGGAGTTAAAAACTCTTTATCTAATGAATCCACCAAACTGGCTATAGAAAAAATTCAGAGATAGCCTAGATCTGTGTTGTCCGATGAAGTAGGAAGTAGACGCTTGTGGCAATTTATTCTAAAACTTAAAGTAATAAAATTAAGTAAAATTAAAACACCAGTTCCTCAGTCACACTAGTCACATTTCAAGTGATCAATAGGCACATGTGGCTAGTAGCTATAGCATCGGACAGTGCAAATATAGAACATGTTCAACATCATAAAAAGTTATATTGTTAGAGCAGGTAGCCAGGCAGACATGAGCAGGGCAGAAGAGGGTTGCCCCCCAACCCCGAGGAATGTCAGACGACCATCAGGTGATGGTCAGGCAGTTGTTAAAACTGTCTCTCTAAAATAATAATTGGTTGCAGCTGGTGCCAAGGAAATAGCCAGAAAATAGCTGAAGCTGTTTATCAGCAGGTTCCCAATAAAATATCAGGGGTTGGGCAAGTGGGCTCAAGCATGTGGACTGAGGCAAAATGGCAGGACATAAATGGTATATGACTTGCCTCTAAGTACGCTCGATTGGTAAGGGAAAAACACCTCAAGTGAACATGTGTACAACTTCAGTAAATTCACTGTGCATGCAGCCCAGCCCAAGTGCTGGCAAGCCACTGCACATGCGGAGGGCCCACCCCAAAGGAAGAGTTAGGGAAAAAGAAATGCAAATCCCAGAATCACAGCAATGTATAAAATCCCAAGTCAAGGGTCAGACAGGGCCCTTGGAGCTCTCAAGTTGCCCACTTGGCCCTCTTTCAAGTGCATTTTACTTCCTTTCATTCCTGCGCTGAAACTTTTTAATAAACTTTCACTCCTGCTCTAAAAGTTGCCTCAGTCTCTCAGTCTATCTTATGCCCCTTAGCCAAATTCTTTCCTCAGAGGAGGCAAGAATTGAGTCACTGCACACCTGTACAGATTTGCCACTGCTAACAATATTACATGACACTGACCTACACAGATATCCCCACAACAAAGTTCACAATCTCCACGTACACACTCTAAGTGAGCCATATTCTTAAATATATGCAAACAATGAAGGATCACTAGATACTTAAGACATCTAATACAAAAAATAGAAAACAAAGTTAAAGTGTAAGCAAACCAAAAGAACCAGAGATGACACAGAGGGAAGAAAATGTATTATCATTAATATCCTCAGGGAACTATGAGAAGATATTGTTTCCATGAAACAAGTATAGCCTGCCATAAGAAAAGGAATATCCAATAAATAAAAATATAAAAGATTAGATTCTTTAAAAATATAATGGTGAGACTAGAACGTGCTGAGTGAAAAGAAAAATATACGTAATGGCATAAATGACAAACTCAATAGAAGTTTCACAAAATAAAATTGGAGAAATCTTCCAGAAAGCAGAACCAAAAATAAAAAAGAGAAGAAAAAAATCAGAAACTTAGAGGACAAGTTCATAAGTTCAATATTCAAATAAGAGTTCTCAAGAAATAGAACAGAGAAAATAAGGCTGAGAAAATTATTTAAGAAGTATTTCAAGTGAGTTTCTCAGAACAGAATGACCTAAGTATTCTGATTAAAAGAGAATTCATAGTGTGCAGATGATGGCTAAGAGTAAACCATACTGAAGTCACATCATCACAAAGTCTTAAAACTGGGGACAAAGGCAAGCTTCCAAAGAGGAGGGGAAATGGTCACCTAAAAAGACCAAGAATCTGAATAGCCTTGGATTTTTCAGCAGCACACTGGAAGTTAGAAAAGCAACATCTTAAAAATTCTGAAAGAAAGCATTTCTCAATATAGACATCTGTATCTAGCCAAGCTATCAATTGAGTATGAGAGAAGAATAAGAATGTTTTCAGACATTCAGGTATCAAGAATTTTACATCACCTGCACCCTCTCTAAGATAACCACCTGGAGAATGTGCTTAAGTAAAGTCAGTGGGTAAACCAAGAAAAATGAAGACATGAAACCCTGGGGACAGGGGAGAGAGGTGAATGAAATGGCAGGAGTGTGGTCATAGTCAATTCCATGAATACAGCTGTGTGACCAGCTCTGAGATCAGCCTTTCCAGATTAAAACAAATTATCATCTTCGAGAAGGAGTGCATCAGGGGTATGCAACACCAGGAGAGATTTAGGCAATTGGCAGAAAGTATGAATTAGGATTATATAGAAAACTAATATAAAAATATTTAAGGACAGCTATTTAATTTAGAGAAAACCAGGCTTTAAATAGGAAAAACAATCATATTTGTATAAATCATTGTATTCTACAAGGCATAGTTGTGAATAGCATTTGCATCATCATCATCATCATACAATAATTTGTTACAACTTAAATAATAATATAACCACCTTAGAAAGATGGGGAGCAAAGAAGAATTCATGTGATGGGATGGGGGTGGAGTATAGATATGAGAAGTAAAGAGGAGTCACCATTTTCCAAAATGGGAAGCTATACCACTATTTTGTATCCATAATTAAGAATAAAAAATTTTAACAAAACAAAATGGGATGTAAATATTAATAGATAATGGCTGGGGAAAAACAAGACTGGAAATATTAGCACATTATTTAGAAACATCAAGGTCATATACCTGAGAAAGAAACAAAACAGGTAAGAGTTGAAAGTGGTTGATCCTGAGTAGAAAAAAATGGATCACAGGAGGTAAGGAGTATTTGGAATATTCTGTTGAATTATTTTATTTTTTAAACTTTGTGCACCTATAACTTTGATTTAAAACAAATGAAAAGCTGGGTCTTCATTAAACAGTATAATTCAGGCTGGGCACGGTGGCTCACTCCTATAATCCCAGCACTTTGGGAGGCTGAGGTGGGCGGATCACCTGAGGTCGGGAGTTCGAGACCAGCCTGACCAACATGGAGAAACCCCATCTCTACTAAAAGATACAAAAATTAGCCGGGCGTGGTGGCGCATGCCTGTAATCCAAACTACTCGGGAGGCTGAGGCAGGAGAATCGCTTGAACCCAGGAGGTGGAGGTTGTGGTGAGCAGAGATCACACCACTGCGCTCCAGCCTGGGCAACAAGAGTGAAATCCCCTTAAAAAAAAAAAAAAAAAACCAAAACAGAAAAACAAAAAAGGCAGTATAATTCATGTTAATGTAAAACATGGCTGGGAACATTTGCCTTCTTTAACAAATAGAATAGAGCCAGTCAACCTATATCAAAGTAGTTATTAAAATAAATGTAATGAATATGTCTACAAAGAATAGTTTAGTACTTTATTTTGCAAAAATGCATATATATATTTGATATAATTTAGTTTGAGAAGTTTAGCCAGTTTTTCTCATTTGTTTTACTTTATGGATGTCTATCTGGTTTTTGTTTGTTTTGTCTTTTTTAAATCTTTTTTTATTATACTTTAAGTTCTGGGGCACATGTGCAGAACGTGCAGGTTTGTTACATAGGTATACACATGCCATGGTGATTTGCTGCACCCATCAACCCATCATATACATTAGGTATTTCTCCTAATGCTATCCCTCCCCTTTCCCCCAAGCCCCTGACAGGCCCCAGTGTGTGATGTTCCCCTCCCTGTGTCCGTGTGCTCTCATTGTTCAACTCCCACTTATGAGTGACAACATGCAGCGTTTGGTTTTCTGTTCCTTGTTAGTTTGCTAAGGATGATGCTAAGCTTTATCCATGTCCCTGCAAAGGACATGAACTCATCCTTTTTTATGGCTGCATAATATTCCATGGTGTATATGTGCCACATTTTTTTTATCCAGTCTATCATTCATGGGCATTTGGGTTGGGTCCAAGTCTTTTCTATGGTGAATAGTGCTGCAATAAACATGCGTGTGCATGTGTCTTTATAGTAGAATGATTTATAATCCTTTGGGTATATACCCGGTAATGGGATTTCTGGGTCAAATGGCATTTCTGGTTCTAGATCCTTGAGGAATTGCCACACTGTCTTCCACAACGGTTCAACTCCCACCAACAGTCTCGTTTTTAAGGGGCTGAGCTTTTCTTATACATGGAAGGTTTGTTTTGTTTTGTTTAGCTTTTAAGCAAAGCTTTTCAGTTTGTAACTTGCTGAGTATTTTTCTTTTGAGAATAACTGGAGAAATATTGGCCACTGATTTTTATGTATAATACAGGTGTGTTTTTCCAGTTTGTTGGTTCCTGTCCCCTCTCTGTTAACTGTTTGACTATTGGAACAGTATGTCTTCAATAATGCAATGTTATTTTGAGATATGCATATTAGTATACCCTTAGTTATTCTTGAAATAAAATCAATCTCTTAGCTTATCGTTGCAGTGGAAAAAAATTGAAGAGAAAAAAGATGAAGAAAATCTAAACCTGCTGTCCAAATGTTGTGTGTTGGAGAAGATTTTCTTTCTCTCTGTTTATGAGATTTTCTAATGATAGCATCACAGACAAATTCCTTTCACCTTTAGTGTTGCTATCTTCTCTCTTAAGCTTCCCATAGGTTTTCTGTCTTACATCATGACTTCTGCCTCCAAATTCTTCCATTCAATTTACTTTTATGAAATTGAATGGAATTCAATTTCCCATGATTCACCTGCCTGTATTTCTTGCTTAGAGATATGAACCTAGTACTTCTAGATAGCTTTATAATTATAATATAAAATTCTTGAAAACTAGAAGTATGTCTTGTGCTTTAAAAACCTAGCACCTGATTCCATTTTTGCAACACTATGAACACATATAATGTGAATATTTCCTAGTGACAATTTATTGAGCACCTTCTATTATGGTGGTGATATAGTCACTCTACACAGGTCATTTGATTAAATGCTAGAAACAACTCTGCAAGGTGAGTACAATAATCACCATTTTGCAGATGAACAAATGGTAAGGGAAAGAAAAAGCAGTGAAAATTTCACCTTAGCTCTGAGAAAAAGAAGTATCACAAATTTTGTTTAAATCAAATTGAGCTGCGTCAGCAAGTAGGAAATTGCATTTTAATCATTTCTGGACTTCCCTCCTCCAATTCCACTTCCAGGTGACACAGAAATCGGGAGTAGAGATGTCTTCTTAGGTCCTAAATCCTGAAAGAAAGGTGTATGGCCTCCACTGGTCCTCACTGATATGCTTATTGTCCAGGCTCTCATGATCTAGTCCCTGAGGGAAGTGGTACTCACCGATAAGCTTGGACAAAGGTCTCTGACTTCTCTATCAAGGCAGTTCCTGAGACCAGGGCTCCTAGAGGTCTTCCCTTTGTCCTGAGGCAATCCACCCAACTAGGAGTTAACAAGCAGGACCTGGGGGCTACTTTCTTTGCAAACCACCCAAACTCCCTTCCTTCTTGTCTCGAGGAATTTGCTACCTGAAGTCAATTCTGCCTCCACCTCCCAGCACCCCCTAGAAGACCTCATCTTTCTTTTCCTCCACTCTACGTGATGTGGCATAATCCCTGCAGTAGGTCTAATCATCCAAACAAAACAAAACAAAAATGGAATGAAGCTGTTCTTGGGGAACACCTGCTTTCCATTCGACCATCCAAAGCCCCTGGAACACAATGGCGTGGCTATTTTCTTGGAATGGGAAGGGGGAAAATACCTTTGAGCAGTGAAAACGAAACACGTATCTGTGGAGGAAAACAAAAAGATGTATAACTTCCTATATTTTGTGGGGGCAGGGAATGGGGAGTTGGTGGTCAAAGGGCACAAATGTATGATTAGGAGAAATAAGTTTCGAAATCTATTGCACGGCAGAGTAACTACAGTCAGTATTGTATAGTATATTCCAAAATAACTTAGAGTAAATTTCAAATGTCTCACCACAAAAAAAAATTATAAGTAAGTGAGGTGATGGATATGTTAATTAGCTAGATTTAGTCACTTCATATTGTATAGATACATAAAACATAACATGGTGCCCCATGAATGTATACAATTATGATTTGTCAATTAAAAAAAATACATACATATATTTATATACTCCAATTTAAATACACATATACATATGTATATAAACATAAATAAGCAGGTATGTATATAATTATATTTATAACATATGCAGTTGAATGAATGTCTGTGAGAAAAGGAGATTTTCACTGTAAAAAAAGTTAACTTCCATTAAGAGAACCTGTCTCATCCTCTAGTCTTCTGCTATTGCCTTTGAACCACATTCCAAAGCCAGGGAAAAAACATGTTTACAAAACTGCAAAGGTCAAGGCCAGTAATGGAAATTGATTTTACATGCTCAGCTGAGTGTTTTTAGAACCATGGAACAGTCTAAGGGAAAGGAAATCTATTTAATTACTCGACAGTCTTTTGTAGTCCATTAAAAAGGCTCCACAATGGTCTACCTCCCCTGAACCAACTTAACATAAATCCCTCCCATTAAAGAAGCACTTCTTAGAAATTGCACAGAATGTGCCCTTCTGAAGAGGTGAAAACTCCAGAGGATGAACTCAAACTGGGAATAATGATTCCTACTTAAAGAAAAGCTGCTTCCTTTAAATGTTTTTAATGAGGCAGAAATTTTCACTTGAAGCTCCTGCCTGTTACCTGAGTAGCTGGTGTCTTTGAACTTGTATTTTTCTCCCTTCACTTTCTGTGTGATGAGATAATGGGCAAGAAATCAATAGCCTCTGCTTCAGGAGCAATTGTGGTGCATTTTTGACTTTGTTCTTTTTGAATTTCAGTCTACCGTGTTCAACACTAAAAACTGTCTCTACACTTCAAAGCAAATTCATGGTAATTTAAAATATGATTTTATTACCATTAACAATTAACTGCCTTTAAAATTTTTACTGTTTTAGATTGAAAGTAAAGAAGAAGAAAACAGTTTAAAATTGGATTTAAGGAGCTGTATATGTAAATGACTACTTGATAACATGAGGAAGTATGCTTACCCCCTGATAGGTCAGGGCTCAAAAGAGTCTCCTGGGACAATTGTTCTACAGCTATGTGATGTCAGACTTCTAAAGATCACTATGTTCATTAGATGATCAATTCAATTAATTCTGTTTAATTATAGTTACTGAATAAGTGCACAGTTAAGCACTATTGTTTGAAATTTGAATAGTCTTTCCATATCAACAGTAATTAATTACTGATGCATTAACTATACAGTATCTATTCTAGTGGTTTCTGCTACCACTATATAAATTTGAAATAAATACTATTTCAAATTAACTTATGATAGTCTCTCCCTACACTAACAAGATTTCATTTTATCATAACTGTTATATCAAGGTCAATATTCACTTAATGCTACTTCTACCTTTGTTATTTTTGTTTTTCAGAGGCAGGGTCTCACTTTGTTGCCTGGAGTGCAGTGGCTATTCACGAATCATTGCACACTAGAGCTTTGAACTCCTGGGCTCAAATGATCCTTCTGCCTCAGCCTCTCAAGTAGCTGGGACTACAGGAGTGCTCCAAGCCCCCCTACACTACCTTCCTGTCCTAACTGAAATTTAGCTTTCTCCTGATTTCTTCCCTTGAAGCCCATTTCAGTGACAGCCACTTCCTTCTACTAGTCTTAAACCTGCAAGAGAGTCACCATTTTCTTCTTCCAGAGTACAGCTTCCAGTCTTTTCTTAAAACAAACAAAAAACACTCTGAATGATTTGTACTGATCTTTTGAAATTCATGTATTTGTTTACACTAGCTAGATTCACCTCAGCCAATTATCCATGACTTTCAAAATAGTTTGGAATTCCTAGGTCAGTTTTATTCTCCAATATGACACTGAAAAATGGTTCTCTGAAAGATATTCATGATCTAATCCCTGAAGTCTATAAATGTCACCTTATTTGAAAAAATGTCTTTGCAGATGTGATTAAATAAAGGATGTCAAGTTGAAGAGATTGTCTTGGATTATCTGTGTGATCCCTAAATGCTGTCACGTGTGTCTTTATAAGAAAGAGGCAAGAGGAGATTTGACACACACGGAGAGAAAGCAATATGAAGATGGAAGAGAGAGAGAGATTTAAGGTGCTGGCTTTGAAGATTGGAGTGATGTACCCACAAGCCAAGGGATTCTGACAGCTACCAGCAGCTGGAAGTGGCAAGAAACGGATTGTTTTCTGGAACTTCTGGAGGAAACATGGCCCTGCCAACACCTTGATTGCAGCCCACCAATGCTAACTTTGGACCTCTGGCCTCCAGAAGCATGAAAGAACAAATTTCTGTTGTTTTAAACCAAGTTTGTCGTAATTTGTTCTAGTAACCGTGGGAAACTAATACACTATCCTATTCTTTATTTTCATTCTCTAAGACTTCACCATCCATATTGTACCAAGAAGTCATACGGAAAACTAAGATTCAGAAAAGCCCACAAATAGTTTCAAGAACAGGGGAGTGATCAATATCTTTAAATATTATGAAAAGGTTAAGATAAAGGTTTTAAAGTACCTATTAGATTAGACAATTGAGAAGTCTTTAGTGACCAAAAAAGAATAGTTTCAATATGGTGATGGAGGTCACATAAGAGACCCACAATAAGAACTGCCCCGCCGTGCTGTCAGTACACAGACTCTTGAAAGAAAAATAAATTTTGTTTTAAGCCACTACATCTTGGGTTATTTTGCTACTTAGTCAGGGCTAATCAGAATATGAAAGGACAGGGAATTAAGAT
The DNA here is from genome assembly GCF_000001405.40 of Homo sapiens. Classification (NCBI taxonomy): domain Eukaryota; kingdom Metazoa; phylum Chordata; class Mammalia; order Primates; family Hominidae; genus Homo; species Homo sapiens. The sequence continues at coordinate 44,389 of NT_187627.1, read as the reverse complement.
AATTTACACTATTTTCTCTTAGCTGGGGAGACTGCTAAATGATTTGGAATGATTAATTTGAGGAATGAAACAAAAAATTCATCAGGGACAAGTAGAAAAATGGTTAAGCAGTGTTGAGGGCCCAATTTATGTCATAGACCCTAAATCTTTGATAGCATCAGCCCTCTTTATAATTTTCTCTAGTAGAGCTCAACAGATTTATCTAGGGTTGGAGGTGGGCAATGCAGATACACAGGGAAAACAAGGGCCAAGGGAGAAGAGGGCCAAGGGAGAAAAGTGGTTCTGGCCAGGCACGGTGGCTCATGCCTGTAATCCCAGTATTTTGGGAGGCCAAGGCAGGCGTACAGCTTGAGTCCTGGAGTTTGAGACCAGCCTGGGCAACACTTTCTCTACCAAAAATACAAAAAAAACTACTACTTGGGAGGCTGGCTGATGTGGGAGGATTGCTTGAGCCCTGGAGGCAGAGGTTACAATGAGCTGAGATCGCACTACTACACTCCAGACAGAGTGAGACCCTGTCTCAATTTTAAAAAGGTAGTAGTCAATCAGTGCCTAGGAGCAGAGCTGACTGATACTTTACACATAGTAAGAATGGAACCTGGGGTTCACTAGGCTTCTGGGGCCCACAAAAATGTTTTATTTTATTTTTAGAATCAGAATAAAAAAAACTTTCACACCAAAAAAATGTTTTTATGCATAGTAATATATTTATCTTTATAAGGTAATCATAAAATGTACCTTTTAATATTCTTTTATGGAGGAAGGGGCCCCAAAAGGCAAAAGTGCTTACGTAATGATGTGGCCCTGCCTAGCAAGGGCAGACATATGAGAGAAAAGGGAGATTTGAAACATCTGAGGTTTAAATGAAACTATTACAAATATGTAACAGAACTAAGAGAGCAAGAGACCAAGAAGGATAAGAGATTATGTTGAGGGAGTGAGAATAATAGAATGTGAGAGTTTTACAGTTTTAGAAATGGAGAAGCATCACACAAGGATAAGACACTCCAGGATGTTGTCATGAGAGGTGAGAAGGGAGGTGGTTGTCTGAGCAGAGGAGATCCGGGAACATGGTGGGTGGGGTTTGTGTAGGTGACGTCAACACTGAAGTGATCCACGATCGAGGCAAGAGTTGGAAAGAAGACTAGGATTTCAGGTGGACCAATGATTTGTGTTAAAAAATAAAAAATAAAAAAAAGATGGAAGTGTTAAAATAATTTTTAAAAAATTATCCAAAATAGAACAAGTATAAAGTATGATATAAAATATAGATAGCAAAATGAAGAGATTTATAAACTAAACGACATGCAAATAAAATTGTTCTGCATGACAAACACCAAAATGACAATTCAACAAACTGAGAAAAAATTATTGCAACTCATATTTTAGTAGAAGTCTATTTTCCTTACTATGGAAAGACTTGCAATAAAACGATAGGAAAATAGGCAGGGGAGATGTCCAGGAAAGAAAGTACAGTGTTAAACATTTGCAAAGATGCTCAACTTCACTCAACATAGGAAAAACATAAATTAAAATTTCAATGAAATATTTTCAATTATGTTCTTGGCAAAGTAAAAAAAAAGTGTAAAATATTATGTTAGCAAGGCTAATGGGAAACTGGTTCTTTTAAACGTAGTTAATGGGTATATAAATTAGTGCACAGCTCATGCAGTATAATTTTTTCAGTATCTATCAAAACTTTTAAAAAGCAAATAACTTTTGACCCAAATAACTTGTAAAAGTAAAAGGTGACATCAGTAGAATGTTATTTATAGAAGCCTTGTTTGCAATAGCAGAAGACTAGAAACACTAGAATGAATCTAGTTGTTCATCAGTAGGGGACAGGTCAAATAAATTATTGAACATCCACATAAAATATTATGCAGTAATATTTCTAAAAGAAAAGTTTGTATGCATTGATAAGAAAAAGCCTTTAAAATATTTTGTTTAAAAAAAGAAAGGTTTTAGAACAGGATATATAATTTTCTACCATTTGTTTATCTTTAAGAAACCAAAAATTTATATAAACATGCATTTATATGTGCATATCTATGCATGTGATTATATTTGCACAAAATACCTTTAAAGGATATCCAAAAGCTGGTGATAAAAGTTGCTTCCAAAGTAAAGTAATAAGAGACTGGAAGACATATAGGGAAGGCCATTTTCATTTCATATTCTTTTTGATGAGGAACCACTTGTCTTAGTTCTAATTGATTGTGGAAGTGACCAGATTAGTTGATGCAGGGTAGTGCATGTTAGACTTAGATGTCATACAACCAAGGAAAGAGGGCTTTTTGGATAAGATTGTAGAGTTAAACTTTGGAAGTGACCATGAAGGTCTAAGTCACTATCATCTCCTGGCCCAGAGATACAGAAAGGAAGAATGGCCAGCTTTTTCAGAGAAAACTGCCAGAGAAGTGATGACATCAAGGAAAAGCCAAATTTCCATTAGGACAGGAACATAGTAAGTTCTGCAAAGACACTGCGGATGTCATAGAAAATAGAATGAAATTTCTAGAGAGTAGTAGAAGAATTGTGAGAGAGGTCAGCCATCGGAAGTGATAGGAAGATGACCCAGAGAAATGAATCACAGAGCAGGATGGAGAAGAAAATACGAAGGAGAGAGACCGCTGAGGAGCCTGCATTCCAGACCTGAGGGTGACAGACATGAGAGACATGAAAGGAATTAATAGCCAATAAGTTTCTGTGGTTTTGTCATTTCACCCTGGGCTCAGCTGCCAGGTGACCATTTATGTTAGTCTGTGGCCCAGTCTGTAAGTGCTGAGATTGGCTCTGGCTAGATCCCACATGCTGTCCACTGTTTTGACTATGGCTTTTATTCTACAGATTCTTTGCATAATATCCCTGTATTAGGCCATTCTTGCAATGCTATAAAGACATACCTGAGACTGGGTAATTTATAAGAAAAGAAGTTTGTCTCATGGTTCTACAGGCTGTACAGGAAGCATACTGGCATCTGCTTCTGGGGAGGTCTCATGAAGCTTCCTGTCATGGCAGAAGGCAAAGGGGGAACAAACATCCCACACGGCAGAATCAGGAGCAAGAGAGAGAGAGAGCAAGAGAGCAAGAGCAATGTGTGTGGGGGGGAGGTGCCACACATTTTTAAACGACGAGATTTCATGTGAGCTCAGAGTGAGAGCTCACTTATTACCAAGGAGATGGCTCAAGCCATTCATGAGAAATTCACCCCCATGAGCCAAACACTTCTCACCAGGCCCCATTTCCAACACTGGGGATTACATCCCAGCATGAGATTTGGAAGGGACATCTGAACTCTATAAGTTCTTCATGGAAAAAGAATAAAATCTATTTCTGTGCTGCCACAGCATTTAACCCTAGGTAGTGTTCGCCACCCACATAAAAGGCCTTTCCCCCAACCTCATCATTGCCCTGACATTGCACTTTCTGATCTATTTTTTCAACATTTCTTATCACTCACTGCACTTGACTGAATGTTTATGTCCCCCAAAATTCATATGTTGAAGCCTAATCCCCAATGTGGTAGTATTTAGAGGTGGTACCTTTGGGAGGTGATAAGGCCATAGGGAGAAGCCCTCATGAATGGGATTAGTGACCTTATAAAAGGGACCCTAGAGAGCCTCCTGACCTCTTCTATCACATGAGGACACAGCAAAAAGGCAGCATCTATGAACCAGGAAGTGGGCTCTCACTAGACATCAAATCTGCCAGCACCTTCCTCTTGAACTTCTCAGGCCCCAGAACTGTGAGAAATAAATTTATGTTGTTTATGAGGCAACCAGTTTATTCTGTTATAGCAGCCTTAATGGACTAAGGATATCCACTATTACTGAATTTGATTTTGCCTCTGGTCTTACCATTGTCTTTCTTGGAGAATCTAAAAAAGACTAGAAAGAAAAATAAACTTTAGAGATCATCTTTCCTAGTTGTCCTCAACCCTGGCTATCTAATAGAAATCACCTGACATGCTTTAAAAACATAGATATCCAGTTGACATCTCCTAATCTGATTTTGTTGTTCTAAAATAGGGACCAGGAATAATATTGTATAAACATCCCCAGGCAATTCTATGCATAGCCAAGGTTTTTAACTGATTTACGTCAACACTTTTATTATGAAGGTGAAGGGACAAAGTCAGCCATCTAGAAAGTGGAACTGGAATTGGAACCTAAGTCTCCTGGTTCTCAGTCTATCCGTCTGGTGTTCATTCTTCTGTATCACGTTGCTTTGAACCACTGATTCTTCCCTCTCTCCTGGTTTCACTTGGCTCTTTACCCAACTGTGAAGCAACAATCAAAGATATTAAAATGTGAGCAGCATGACTTTCTCGTGTTGTCCATCTCCCAACACCTGTATAAGCCCAGCCATCTACTTCTGTTTCATTTGTAAGCATCTGTGCATTGCTTGAGAAAGTCATGTAATGGTGCCATTTGGCATCACTATGAATTCATGCTATCTAGCCTCAATGTGTCCTCATTCTGTAGGGCCATCTTTATTTCACTCTTCTTTGTTTTTTGTCATGTCACCCAGAAAGACTATTAGAAATATTTTCTATGCTCCTTGAATCATCTGTCTTAGTTCTGTACCCCACTCTCAGCAGATAAAATTATTGAAAATTAATGTATCTATTTCCTAGCCTCTCCTCTGCTTGAAATCATCTCTGTATTTTTCACCTATCCTCTTTCCAAGTCTAATTTTTGCCTGTGATTGGATTTAAGTCCTCCTTTTGTTCTCTAGGGCATATTCTGTCTGTCCTCCTCTCTTCTTTCTCTTTTCTTCTCCACTAGAGTATTTTTGCTCCTAAAAGCAATACTTCTCATAAAGTTACTACCCTATTGAGCTACCAGCCACTACCCATCTTTCTTTCTCTGCTGAATTTTCCACTGGCTGGTTTACAATCACTGCTCAGTTTTTCTACCTGCTATGTGTAATCTGACCTCCATCTTTCATCTACTTAAACTATTCTCCCATTTATACCTTTTGGCTTAATTGCCAAAATTAACAACTTCAATTATTGTCCTTGCACTAAGAAGCTCTCTCTCTCTTGCTCTCTCTCTCTCTTTTTTTCTTTTTTGGAAACTTTCTTCTCCATTTATTAATTATATTGCATTCTCAAGTTCCATTTACTCCTACTCCACCCTGGCCCTGAATTTTCTAGTCATGCCTCAGTACACCAGGTTGGAGGGACTTGCTGCTCTGTGGCCATGGACTAACAATATGGCAGTGATCTGCAAGCTTGTCAGAAATATGGCATCTCAGGCCCCTTCTAAGAACCTGCTGAATCAGAATCCCAGGATCTGAATTTTAAGTACCTGCTCAGATGATTCATGTACATGTAAAGCTTGAGAAGCATAGCTCTAAGGGTCTGCCCTTGAACATTTTCTCTAACCTGCTTTCTTTCTATTCTTGATAGTCTGATCCAAAACTTCAACTAACCAGGCTGAGCATAGCGGCCCACACCTGTAATCCCAGAACTTTGAAAGGCCAAGGTGGGAGGATCACTTGAGCCCAGGAGTTTGAGACTAGCTTATGCAACATAGGGAGCCATTATCTCTACCAAAACAAACAAACAAACAAACAAACAAACAAAAAAACAGTTAGCTGGGTGTGGTGGTGCACACATAGTCTCAGCTACTGGGGAGGCTGAGATGAAAGAATCAGTTAAGCCTGGGAAATTGAGGCTATAGTGAGCCCTGATGGTTCCACTGCACTCCAGCCTGGGTGATGGAGCGAGGCCCCATCTCAAACAAAACAAAAAAACAACAACAAAATACTTTAATTATAAGCAAAAATCCCAAGATCTATTCTTCTGACCATGAGCTCCTTCCATCCTGTATATTATGTCTCCATTTTCAACAAGCTTTTGAACACTTGATATGTGTTTTTTATAGACAAGCTATCATCTTCAAAGTAAGTCTTAATCTTTTCTAAAAACTGTTGTTTCTTCCCTATCTCAGTTAATGAACATTCTCCCAGGCACTCTGTGTTACAATTTTTTGTTAACCTTGATTCTTTCCTCTCTGCAAATGGCCTTCATATAATAAAGAATATAATCTTGATTGGTTTCATCATTAAATGTCTTTTGCATTTCTATTACTTGGCAAACATAGATGGATAGGTGGATAGATTGATGTGTATATATAATCACTTATTTTGAGTTATCATCCAGGTGATCTTCTAAGAGCTTTATGAATATAAACCTGATATGGTTTGGGTCTGCGTGGCTGCCCAAATCTCATGTCAAATTGAGGGCCCTCCCAGGTGGGGCCTGTTGGGAGGTGATTGGATCATGGGGGTGGTTTCTCATGAATGGTTTTGTACCATCCTACTAGTGCTGTTCTCATGATAGTGAGTGAGTTCTCATGAGATCTGATTGTTTAAAAGTGTGTAGCACCTCCCACCTCTCTAGCCTCCTTCTGCTGGGCTCTGTAAGATGTGCCTGCTTCCCCTTCACCTTCTGCCATGATTGTAAATTTCCTGAGGCCTCCTTAGAAGCATAAGCCACTAGGCTTCCCAGACAGCCTGCAGAACTGTGAGCCAAGTAAACCTCTTTTCTTTATAAATTACCCACCCTCAGGTACTTCTTTATAGCAGCGCAAGAACAGACTAATACAGAAAATTGGTACTAAGGAGTGGGCCATTGCTATAAAGATACCTGAAAATGCAGAAGCAGCTTTAGAACCGGGTAATGGGCAGAGGTTGGAACAGTTTGCAGGGCTCAGAAGAAGACAGGAAGATGAGGGAAAGTTTGGAACTTCCTAGAGACTTGTTAAATTGTTGTGACCAAAATGCCAATAGTGATATGGACATGAAGTCCAGGCTAAGGGGGTATCAGATGGAAATAATGAACTTATTGGGAGCTGGAGTAAAGGTCACTCTTGCTATGCTTTAGTAAAGAGCTTGGTTGGATTGTGCCACTGCTCTGGGGATCTGTAGGACTTTGAACTTGAGAGTGATGATTTAGTGTATCTGGTGGAAGAAATTTCTAAGCAGCAAAGCATTCACGATGTGGCCTGGTTGCTTCTAGTAGCCTTTGTTTATATTTGTGAGCAAAGAAATGACCTGAAATCGGAACTTATATTTACAAGGGAAGCAGAGCATAAAAGTTTGGAAAATTTGGAGCCTGACCATGTGGTAGAAAAGAAAAACTCATTTTTAGGGGAGGAATTCAAGCAGGCTGCAGAAATTTGCATAAGTGAAAAAGAGCCAAGTGCTGTTAGCCAAAACACTGTGGAAAAGGCCTCAAAGACATTTTAGAGACCTTCACAGCAGATCCTCCCATCACAAGCCTAGAGGCCTAGGAGGGAAGAATGATTTTCTGGGCTGGGCCCAAGGCCCCACTGCCCTGCACAGCCTCGGGACCCTGCTCCCCTTGCATCCCAACTTCTCCAGCTCCAGCCTTAGCTAAAAGGGGCTAAGGTACAGCTTGGGTCACTGCTTCAGAGGGTGGAAACCATAAGTCTTGGTGGCTTCCACATGGTGCTAAGCCTGCGGGTGCACAGAGTGCAGGAATTGAGGCTTGGGATCCTCTGCCTAGATTTCAGAGGATGTACAAAAAAGCCTGGCTGTCCGGGCTGAAGCCTGTAGCCAGGGTGGAGCCCTCAGAGAGATCCTCTACTACAGCAGTGCAGAGGAGAAATGTGGGGTTGTAGCCCCCCACACAGTGTCCCCACTGGAGCACTGACTAGTGGAGCTGTGATAAGAGGGCCATTATCCTCCAGAGCCCAGAATGGTAGAGCCATCAACAGCTTGCACTGTGTGCCTGGAAAAGCTCAGGCACTCAATGCTAGCCCATGAAAGCAGCTGCAGGTGCTGAACCCTGTAAAACCACAGGGGCAGGGATGCCCAAGGCTTTGGGAGGCCACCCCTTACACCAGTATAACCTGAATGTGAGACATGGAGTCCAAAAGATTATTTTGGAGCTCTGAGGTTTAATTACTGCTCTGCTGGGTTTTGGAATTCTGTGAGGCCTGTAGCCCCTTCTTTTGGCCTATTTCTCCCTTTTGGAACAGGAGTATTTACCCAATACCTGTACCTTCATTGTATCATGAAAGTAACTAACTTGTTTTTTATTTTACAAGCTTATATGTGGAAGGAGTTTGCCTGATTTCAGATGAGACTTTGGATTTGAGACTTTGGAGTTAATGCTGAAATGAATGAAGACTTTGGAGAGCCTGTGGGGAAGCCATGATCATATTTTGCAATGTGAAAAGAACATGAGATTTGGGAGGGGCCGAGGGGCGAATGATATGGTTTGGATCTGTGTCCCCACCCAAATCTCATGTCAAATTGTAATCTCCAATGTTGGAGGTGGGGTGTGGTGGGAGGTGATTGAATCATGGGGGTGGTTTCTCATTAATGGTTTAGCACCATTCCCCTAGTGCTGTTCTCATGATAGTGAGTTCTCATGAGATCTGGTTGTTTAAATGTGGGTAGCACCTCCCACTTCTCTCTTCCTCCTGCTCACGTCATGTAAGATGTGCCTGCTTCTCTTTCACCTTCTGCCATGATTGTGAATTTCTTGAGGCCTCTCCAGAAGGAGAAGTTGCTATGGTTCCTGTACAGCCTGCAAAACTGTGCCAATTAAACCTCTTTTATTTGTAAATTACCTAGCCTCAGATGTTTCTTTACAGCAGTGCAAGAATGGACTAATACAACCTACTTAAACTTGATTTTGTGGACAATGTTATCTTATTATCTTATCCTCTTTTAGACCTTGGTCACATTTTACCTGGATCTCTGCCATTGCCCAACTACTCTGGCTATGTGCCTACTTGTACACTCTCCCTACCCCAGGACCACCCAGAACACTTATGATGAAAATGCTAATGTTTGTGTAGTGCTTTATAGTTTGCAAAGTACTTTCACATGATCATCTTATTTAACTCTCACCAAAAACTATGAACATGATGTTATTTATATTCTCATCTTTCAAATTGTATTTATTTTTTACTTTTTGTGAGAAAGGGGCTCACTCTGTTGCCTGGGCTGGTCTTAAAATCCTAGCCTCAAGCAGTCCTCCCATGTCAGCCTCCCAAAGTGTTGGGATCACAGTTGTGAGCCATTGCACTCAGCTTCCATTTTATAAATAAGTAAAATGATATTCTAGGTATATATACGATTTGTTCAAGACCAACATCTGACTCCTTACACTTTGCCTGTGCAGCTTTAGCTTTCTAAAGCACAGATGGAGTCTCCTCTTCACAAAACAATGTTAATGTCTTCTAATTACCTACAGAATGATGCAACCTACCTTTCCAGTTTTAAATCCTCCACAACCTATTCTACAATTACTCACTATTCTTAGACTGTACAAGTGCTTTCTCAACTCTATTTCTGTTCACACTCTTCCCACCACCTGTAATACCCTTTTTTTCAATCACCATCTGACAAAATGTATGCATATGCATCACTCAAGGCCCTGCTCAAGTGGCCTTGCCTTCATGGAGTCCTTTCTCAATTAACTATGACACACTCAACCGATGCATCCTTTCCCTCTTTTGCTAAATCATCCAGAGCAGGGCAAATACGAATATTGCTTCTGGAGTCCGAGAACCTGGATTCCAGTGTGGCTGTGCCATTTCTGAGCCTTGGGCTTCAGTTCCTATTGATAATAACAGTATCTAGTTCATCAGATTATGATGACATGCCAAACATACTACTAACAGATATACAATAGTGACCAAACTGGCAAGGTTTCTGTGGCTGTGAAACTTTATATCACAGGGGGAAATAAACAATAAATTAGTAAACATAAACGTTGATATGTAATGTCTTAGCTGGTCATCTATTAAAAGGTCCCCTGAGAAGTGAGGAACGAGCAGGGGCTGGCCCATTCAATGTGCTGGAGGAAATGTCCCAGGAGGAGCAAAGAGCATGTGCAAAGCAGTAGAGCAAAAGAGGCAGATATGTTTGTGGATCTGACATGTCCAGTAACAGAAGCACAGCAAGGAGAGGGCAGAATAAAATGAGATGAAATTGGAGTGATAAACCAGGCCTCATAAACTGCAGCAAAAAAAAAAAAAAATTGTATTTGATTTATTTCTTTTTAGTTATTTATTTATTTTTGAAACAGGTTCTCGCTCTGTCGTCTAGGCTGGAGTGCAGTGGTGAGATCTCGCTCAGCTCACTGCAACCTCCACCTCCAGGTTCAAGCAATTCTCCCACCTCAGCCTCCTGAGTTGCTGAGTTGCTCGAACTACAGATTGTGCCACCACACCCGGTTAAATTTTGTGTTTTTTAGTAGAGACAGGGTTTCACCGTGTTGGCCAGGCTGTTTTGGAACTCCTGACCTCAGGTATCAATCCACCCACCTTGGCCCCCCAAAGTGTTGGGATTACAGGCGCGAGTCACCACGCCTGGCTGTATTTGATTTATAATGAGAAGTATTGAAACATTTTAAGTGAGCAAACAACATGGCCCAATTTTTCTTTTTAAAAAAATTATCTGGGAAAAGGGAAGGAAGGGAGGAAGAAAGGAAAGGAGGAAGGAAGGAAGGAAGGAAGGGAAGGAGGGAGGGAGGGAGGGAGGGAAAAAGAGTGTTTTGGCTAACATTTGTAGAAGTGAAACAACCTTGTTCAGACATTAGCGCATGGGCATGTAAGCACTTTCGGGCAAATTGTATCTGGCATTCTACTGTCAAGAAGTGGGGTCTGGCCGGGGACAGTTGCTCAGGCCTGTAATCCCAGCCTTCAGGGAGGACCAGGCAGGTAGATCACCTGAGGTCAGAAGTTTGGGACCAGCCTGGCCAACATGGTGAAACCCTGTCTCTACTAAAAATACAAAAGAAAAAAACAAAAACAAATTAGCCTGGCGTGGTGGCAGGAGCCTGTAATCCCAGCTACCCGGGAGGCTGAGGCAGGAGAACCTGGGAGGTGGAGGTTGCATTGAGCCGAGATCGCACCACTGCACTCCAGCCTGGGTGACAAAGTGAGACTTGTCTCAAAAAAAAAAAAAAAAAAAAGCGATAGGAGACTTAAAGAAAAAAATGTGGGGTCAGGTCCTCTCCCCTTGAATAGAGAGGTAAGCCTATGACTACAGCAATAGTAACACCATGTGATATCCAAGGCTGAGTCATAAAAAGCAGCTCAGCCACCATTCTGTGCAGATGCCAAGCAGCTGCATAGAGGAGCCAGTGAAGGTGTTCCAGGCACTGTCCCAGTGGAGCCATCAGCTAACAGCCAAAATCAACTCCCAGACATGTGAGGAAGCAAGATTTCAGATTATTCCAGCCTTAGTCCTTGAGCCACTGCAGCTGATCCCTGTCGCAATCCAGACCTGAGCGTATTAAATGTCGTCGTTGTTTAAGTCACTAGACTTTGCCATGTTTTGTTGCACAGCATTAGATAAATGAAACAGCAACTGTTAGTATCAATATCATGTCTGCTAATTACCCAATAACCTCTCTCCTACCTTCTAAACCTCGATTTTCTTTGACGCAGCAAAATACCCAGTTACAAAAACTTATTTCCCCAGATACCTCCCAACGTGACGTTAGTTGACATGTAATTCATTTCTGATTAATGAAATGTAAATGAACATTTACTGGTTAGATCTTCCAGGAAAGCTATTTTATTCCTAATGAAAAGGGACAGAATCAGTTAGTATATACCTTTTGCCTTCAGCTTTTGATCTTACTGCCCAAAAACAGGATTCAAAGTCTGGAGCCATCTTCCAACACTGCATCCTTTGGAAGCAACTTAATTAATTAATTTTAAAAATTAACCATTGCAGATGGCCACTCCCGCTATTTTTATTCAACATTATCCTGGAGGTTCTAACACTCTAATAAGGAAAGAGAAATAATAAAAAGCAAATAGACTGGAAAGGGAGACATAAATCTCTGTTTATTCACAGACGATATTGTCATCTATCAAAAAACCCTAAAGAATCTGCAAATAAGCTGTTAAAACTGAAAGTGAGTTTAGTTCAGTGGCAGGGTACAAAGTCAATATCAAAAACCAATTGCATTTCTTTATATTAGCAATAAACAATCAGAAATTAAAATTAAAGTTTGCCATGTACAGTGGCATCAAAACTGTAAAATACTTAAGGATAAATTCGACAAAAGATGTTCAAGACCTGTACACTGAAAACTATAAAACATTGCTGAGTAAAATTAAATGTTAAAGAAGACCTAAGTCAATTAAGAAATATACCATATTCCTAGATTAGATGACTCTATATTGTTAAGACGTCATTTCTTCCAAATTGATCTGTATATTCAAGGCATTCTAATAGAAATCCCAGCCAGCTACTTTGTAGAAGTAGCAAGCTGACTCTAAAGTTTAAATTAAAGTGCAGAAGATCTAGAACAGACAAAACAACTTGGAAGAAAAAAGAACAAAGTTAGAGGACATTTTGTGTGTGTGTGGTTTTCTTAAAAAGTATTTTTTTAGGAAGTAATTTCTAAGAGTAGAATTAGTGGATAAAAGGCTAGAAGAAAGCTCAATATCTTATTAAATTTCACAGCTCAAAAACTTTTTGATTTGAAATATTTTAAAAATAAATTTTAAGATCTCATAAGCTTGAGCAGTGCCCAAGTGATTCCACCCTCTGGAGGCCAGGTGATAATGAAATGAGATGTGGTGGGAGGATGGAGTAGGATTACCTGCTGGTGACATAAATGATGAATGGGAAAGAAAAATTCTAATTTACTAACTAAATTAATATTGTGGTAAATTTACTAATAAATAAAAGGAAAAACATCCTACTATATAGAAGATATTTTACAAATATTTGATGTTTATAATTATGCTTCAATAGAGCAAAGACTATCTTCACATTAATTTTTAGAAGCTCTAGAAGATGTACTGAACTGGGAACCTGCTGATGTAAACTTTAGTGCTCTGTGTGCCACTAACCAGACAATTGACTTTGGGCAGGACTTTACGTCTCTAGGTCTTAACCTTGATATTTTCAAAAGGAGGTTATTAAAGGACTATTTTGAGAGTTATGCCACAGATTCTATTTAGGCCTTTCTATTAATATTTCATTACTATTACATTTTGTTACAACTTCCATCCATTTCTTCCCTATAGAATCCAATTCCTTATAATTTATCTTTATTAAAGAGCAGTACCATGGGATTATGTCCAAGGAATCAAAGGTTCTAAAATGGTCTTCCCCTTTACCATCAAGGATCAGTAAAGAAGGCATTAAGCCCAGTATTGTGGCATGCACCTGTAGTTCTAACTACTCAGGATGCTTAGGCAGGAGGATTGCTGGAGCCCAGGAGTTCAGGGTTGCAGTGTACTATGACTGCACCTGTGAATAGTCACTGCACTATAGCCTGGGCAATATAGCAATATCACATCTCTAAAAAAAATTAAAAATTAAAAATTAAAGTTTGAAAAAGAAGACATTTAGCACATCTCTACCACTCATTATGGAAACTTCTGTTTTTGCTTCTTTCTGCAGTCCTCCAAATGTAGTCTGTGATGTATCATAGGCATGGAATACCACCATTATTTCTCTCTAGTGATTTCTAGAACAGTCTAGAGTATTGGAGAATACATAAATAAACTAAAAACAAGTTCAAGTCCACCAACTGACCTTTCTCTAGCTACATCTGCAAAGCTCTGTCTCATATTTTTGTAAGTTCTGATAGCTTACTTACTGGGAAAACTACTGGGCTCATAATAATTTTACTCCGAAAAGAGCCCTGTTTAGGCTATCCTATTTTAGTGCAGAGAGTCAGACTTTAAAAAGATACGCAACATGAACAAAATTTTGCAAAGTCTTAAAAAGTACTTTGTCTTTTAGCTATGATAGAATGAGGTACAACTACATTATTCTGCCCAAGGTAGGCCCCAGATGAAGGATCCCCCCCATATAGGACTTCACTATTTACGTAGAATTTAAGAGATAGGAAATCTCTCCTCTGAAGATCATACTCTTGGGTTCATGAGCTTTTAAAATTTTATTTCCTCCTCTGTTATTCCAGACTATGCCATCAGCCCAAATGACCTGCTAATCTTTACCAGTGTATGTGAGGCTATTCTGAGATATAAGCTTCACATAGCTAATGAAAACTTCAGAGCTAGTCTCACGTTGTTGTAAGGGCAAAAGGAACTTTCTTTTCACCTCCTGAAGGTTTGAGAATTCGAATCTATAAACAAACTTACAATAGACAGATTAATGGGAGAACAGGCATACAAATTTATAAATGTACAAGCACATGGGAGTCAGACAAAGTATAAAACTCAAAGAAGGGCCAGATTATTGAAGGTTAAATACCTTCTTCATAAGGCAGAGGGAAGGAGGGGATGTAGGTAATTTTAGAGGAAGAATAGATAATTTTTAGGGGAGATGAATTGGCTCAAAGAACAGACAATAGCCTGGGACAAAGTTAGTCTGGGCTCTGAGAGAGATGGTGACAATTTATGAGAAGTTTAGTGGCAGAATTGCACTGTGAACAAAGGCTGTCTAATTACGCAGATAAAGTCTCTCAGGCACCATTCCTCAGAAGAATAGATGAAAAGTGTGTCTGGGACTATGTGGGGACAATCTTTTCTTTTAATTTTTTTTGAGGGGTCTTGCTTTGTTGCCCTGGCTGAAGTGCAGTGGCACGATCACAGCTCACTGCAGCCTCCGCCCAGCTCAAGTGACTCTCCTGTCTCAGCCTCCTGAGTAGCTGGGACTACAGATGTGCACCAACTCACCCAGCTATTATTTTTTGTAGAGATGGAGTCTCACTATATTGCCCAGGCTGGTCTCGGACTCCTAGGCTCAAGCCATCCTCCCGCCTTGGCCTCTCAAAGTGCTGAGCTTATAGGCATGAGCCACCGGGCCCAGCTGATAATCTTTAATTTCTTCTTTGGTGATTAATCTTCCCTGGTTAGTGAGATTTCAGACAGGAGATTGAAGACAATTGTGTTTCTTTTGGAAGGAATTCCCTCAGTCAGAACTTCAGGGAGAGCTCTCCCTGTGCCTGGGGGAAGAAAACAAAGGAAGATCAGAGAGACCTTGATTCTGAGGCAGCTTCTCAGGCCTTCCAATTTTCTTTAATTCACTGTGTTCAACATGCTATAGAGCCACACTATGAGACATCGTTTTCTGAGCCCCAACATTATCCAATTGTCTTAGCACAGGTTTAGAGAATAAGACCACCTAAACCTTGGGAACACTGTGATTATACACCTAGCCAAATCTGAGCACCCTCCTTCAAACCCTTCACACCCTTCTCTTCAGAGTTTTATTTTTTTATTTTTTTGAAACAGAGTCTCACTCTGTCGCCCAGGCTGGAGTGCGGTGGCGATCTCAGCTCACTGCAAGCTCTGCCTCCCGCGTTCATGTCATTCTCCTGCCTCGGCCTCCTGAGTAGCTGGGACTACAGGCGCCTGCCCCCACGCCCGGCTAATATTTTTTGTATTTTTAGTAGAGATGGGGTTTCACCGTGTTAGCCAGGATGGTCTCAATCTTCTGACCTCGTGATCCGCCCGCCTCGGCCTCCCAAAGTGCTGGCATTACAGGCGTGAGCCACCACGCCCGGCCTCTCTTCAGTTTTAAGTACAGGTTAATGACCACATGACTTGCCAAGTTTGTTTGTGTCTCCTAAATGTCGCGCTTTGGAAACCTTGACCAGCCTGTTCTAACCCCCTTTGAGTTGAGCCTCCACATCAATATGCAACTGTTATTCTGAGTGCTTTCCTTATCTGTTCTTTTTATAGTTCTTCTTATCCTTGATCTTTCTTAATAGGCTGTTCACTTACATGGTGTTCTCTTAAGTTTCCCTCTGAGCTCTTAAACTTTGTTTTTCACAGACATTTTCACTCAGGCTTCAATCTTAACACAGACTATAAAACCCTTCAAACTCTTGGGGAGAAGTGTGAATTTTGTCAACTGCGAATGGTCCACTCTGAATCTCTCACTATGTGGTACTGAAACTGGAAATACATAAATAAATAAGTTATTTATACTCAAATTCTCAAACATGTTTGCTGCTTTCTGTTGAAATTTCCAAATTCAGGCTGGGTGCAGTGGCTCACACCTGTGGTCCCAAGCACTTTGGCAGGCCGAAGCTGGTGGATCACTTGAGCCCTGGAGTTCGAGACTAGCCTGGGTAACATGATAAAATCCTGTATCTACAAAAAATTTAAAAATTAGCCAGGTTGGTGGTGCACACCTGTGGTCCCAGCTGCTCAGGAGGCTGAGGTGGAACGATCTATTGAGCCCAGGAGATAGAGGGTGCAGTGAGCCGTGATCCAAATTCAAGCATTTTTTAAGCCTCATCTTCCTTTAATTGTCATCATAATCAAGTGGTATCTAGTCTACCACACGTAGGGGTAGCTGAGCAAAACAAATAAATGTCTTTAGCTTAGAGTCTGTCTTAGATGGCAGTAATGTGGAGAAATGTATAAAATGACAGCAATACCAAGAGTGAATATAGAAAGCTAAAATCATTAATACTGTCATGTTAATCTCACCAGGTCTCTAAGAGAACGAATATTTGGTATGTTTGAGGTGTCACTGGAGTTGGCACTGATTACTAAACCCTGAATTTTCAAAGCTGATTCTGACAATGCTTTAGTATATTTAGAATTCATCAAAATTATTTCATTAAAAAAGAATACAAGTTGACATCTGTGAGTGCTATCTCACACTTGAGTAAAAATGAAGTCAGCTGCTGCCTGGCTGCAGCAGTACTTTTATTTGACACTTTGAAATACTTGGCTAAAAACGAACTAGTGTGCTGGCCAACAAAAAGCAAAAGAGCGTGAAAAGCAGTGGGATGATAAAACTGGGTAAGAGCAGACATTTTCAGTTCAACTGTTTTATTTTATAGTCTAAGACTATAAAAGCAACGAACTGTAAAACTACATGAACCTATTTACCACTGAATTTTACATGATTCTACCGTAAGTGTCATAATCTATCTTTTCCTCAAGAAAAAAATGGTAAGTTCTATATTTAGGCTAAAGAACCCACAGTGCTAATGTAACAAACTATTTAGTAGGTTCAATACATTTTACTATTCAGATTTCCATCATTCTTTTAATATAATACTGATCTTTTTACAACTATCTTAGAGAATCTCAAATTTGGTTCACTTTTTTTGGTAAGTACAAGGAAGCCAGGGAGTTGCCTTATCTCTCTCTGCGTCATCTCTCTTTCTCCATTGCTGCTTTCTTTGTCTTCTTGTTCGACACCCTGCGTTTCGAATTCTGCACTTCCTTCCTCTTTTCTGTAATCCATTACCTTCCTGGAAAGTATCTCCTAAGTTCCTTTGCTCCCATAATTACCTTTGACTTAAAGCTGAGTAGGAAGCAGAATTTCTGAAACAATACAGTGAAATGTAGATTATATTGCAGAAAAATAACTTAAAATGAATATTATAACAAATTCAATATATGGAACATTTTTAATGACAATAGATGCATTTTCTTCAACAAATCAATACCATGAGAAACCAAAAAAAAAAAAAAAAAAGAAGAAGGAAGAAGGAAGTCTTCTCTACATTTAAAAGACAGGAGAGTCAAAACATTTAAATATGTGGACTTTGCGTTACCATTCAACTAACCAACAGTATACAGAAATATTTTAGACAGTCAGGGATATTTTAATATTGCTGGCTATTCCATAATACCAAAAATACCAGGAATTACTATTAATTTTGTTAGATGTAAAAATGGCATTATGAATTTTTAAAAGACCATATTTTTTAGGGATGCATCTTGAAGTATGTAGGAGTGAAATGACAGGATTTCTAAGATTTGTTTTCAAATATTTAGCAAAGAAAGAAAAAGCAATTACGCAAGTGTGACACAATCTTGGTAATTTTAAATCTCGATGGATATTGGGCTTCATTGTGCTTTGCTCTCTATTTTTGGATATGTTTAAAATTTTTCACTTCATACAATTTTCTAATTTGGAAGTAAAAAATAACATATTCCTGTTCTTAGGTCTCTTGATAAATCCTGAATCTTAGAAACTTTCATTCGACTGTCTTTTTTTAATTCAAGAAAGAGCCCAATATATTTTTGGGTAGCCTTGATTTCTTAGAATCTCACTCTTAATGTCCCAACTACATCCAACACCCGGAAGCCCATTTACCTCCCACCTGGGGCAGTTTGGAGACATCCTGGGTTATTCTGGCAATGCTCAGATAGCTTGATAGCCATAAATAAAATGGCCCATCTTGGTGTTTTCCTAAACAGAAACTATTTTCCCTGTAACGTTATTGACTTCACCTTTCTCCACAGGCAGAGTTTATCACTCTCCACTTTGTTTTATTTATTTATTTATTTATTTGCTTATTTGTTTGTTTGTTTATAGCGCCAGGGTCTCACTATGTTGCCCAAACTGGTCTCAAACTCCTGGGCTCAAGTGATCTTCCTGCCTCAGCCTCCAAGTAGCTGGTATTACAGGCATCCACCACCATGCCCAGCTCCTCCATTTGATGTTTTCATAGAATTAAAATAAAGACCTATATTGGAGTATGAATTACAAGTTGCAATTTTATTTGTCTGTTTTGTTTTTTGCTTCTTTTTGGGTTTTGTTTTGTTTTGTTTTGTTTGAGACAGGGTCTCACTCTGTTCCCAGGCTGGAGTGCAGTGGCACAATCACAGCTAACCACAGCCTCAACCTCCTGGACTCAGGTAATCCTCCGACATCAGCCTCCTAAGTAGCTGGGACTACAGGCATATACCAACATACATGGCTAATTTTTTAATTTTTTTTTTTTTTTTTTTTGAGACACAGTCTCTCTCTCTCTCTCTGTCGCCCAGGCTGGAGTACAGTGGTGCCATCTTGGCTCACTGCACTCTCCGCCTCCCAGGTTCAAGCGATCCTTCCACTTCAGCCTCCTGAGCAGCTGGGACTACAGGCCTGCATCACCATACCCAGCTAATTTTTGTATTTTTAGTAGAAATGGGGTTTTGCTATGTTGGCCAGACTGGTCTCAAACTCCTGGCTTCAAGTGATCGGCCCACCTCGGCCTCCCAAAGTGCTGTGATTCATTGGCCTCCTTGTCTCTTACCCCCAGTAAGTTGTAAGCTCCTTGAAGACAGAGACTGTGATGGTTAATTGTATATGTCAACTTGACTGGCCATAGGATGCCCAACTATTTAGCCCAGCATCATTCAGGGTGAGTCTGTGAGGGTGTTTTTGGATGAGATCAACATTTAAATCAGTAGACCTAGTAAAGCAGATTGCCCTCCATGCTGTGGATATGACTCCTCTAATCAGTTGAAGGTCTCAGCAGAACAAAAAGGCTGACCCTCTCCCAAGTGAGAGAGAATTCTTGCTGCCTGATTACTTTCTAAGAACTGGGACATTGGCCGGGCACGGTGGCTCACGCCTGTAATCCCAACACTTTGGGAGGCCGAGGAGGGCGGATTGCCTGAGGTCAGGAGTTCGAGACCAGTCTGGCCAACATGGTGAAACACCATCTCTACTAAAAATACAAAAAAATTAGCTGGGCGTGGTGGCGTGCGCCTGTAATTCCAGCTACTCGGGAGGCTAAGACAGGAAAATCGCTTGAACCTGGGAGGCAGAGGTTGCAGTGAGCCGAGATCACGCCACTGCATTCCAGCCTGGACGACAGAGCGAGACTCCGTCTCAAAAAAAAAAAAGAACTGGGACATTGACGTTTTTCTGCCTTCAGACTCCATCTGAAACGTCAGCTCTTCCTGGGTCTCAAGCCCGCCGGCAATGGGACTGGAACTACACCATGGACTCTCCTGGTTCCCAGGCTTTCAGACCCAGGCTAGAACTATACCAGTGGCTCCCCTGGGTCTCCAGCTTCCCAACTTATCTTACAGATCTTGGGACTTGCCCGCTTTCATAATCGTGTGAGCCAATTCCTTAAAATAAATCTCTTTATATATATTTATACACATCTTATTGGTTCTGTTTCTCTGGAGAACCCTGACTAAAACAGAGACCATATCTTATGCATTTCTAAAGGCCCAGAACTTGGAACAGTGCCTAACAAAGAGTAGATGCTTCTTTTAAAGGTTTGCTGAATGAAATGGTGCTTTTATAATCTCTTAAGTGTATAACTCTTATTTGAGTATTGATTTGTTTGTGCACAAAAAAAGTTGGGCTTTGAGAAAAGGAAAAGTTGAGTTCTACATTAGTGTGAAAAAAAGAGAATTACTTGCTTTTAGAAAAAATCAACTAAAAACTTAATCAACTAAAAGAAAGAAACTACTGAACTAGACCAGAATTGGATTTGTTTCCATATTGTATTGACCCAAACTTTAAATTTGTTCACACATCCATACTTTTACCAATCTGGGTCTTAATTTTCTCATCATGGTCCACAAAGTTGGATCCTAATCTGGCATCTCACTGGCTCTGAACTTTTGTCTCTCTCATCTTTCCGAGTAGCAACCACAAGTTAATTTTCCTAACATTGCTTTTATCTTGTCTCAAAATTTTTAGCAGCTCTCTAATATCTACTCCTTTTGCTCTGGTATTCAAGTGACTCACAGTCTTCTCTTTTATTTACTTTTAAATATTTTGTAGAGACCATATTTCCCGATGGTCTTGACTCTTGGGCTCAAGCAATTCTCCTGCCTTGGCCTCCCAAAGTGTTGGGATTACAGGATGGTGAGGTCAGGTGCATGAGGTGCCACACGCAGCCTCACAATCTTAACTTGCCTTTTCCAGCCTGTCTTTCATCAATCTCTCAATCAAGTCCTTTGTCCTTCCTTGTTGGTTAATGACAACCCATTTATTACACATCTTACTAAATTTACTCCAGTTCTCTTTTTTTTCGAGGTGAAGTTTTGCTCTTGTTGCCCAGGCTGGAGTGCAATGGTGTAATCTCGGCTCACCGCAACCTCCGCCTCCTAGGTTCAAGTGATTCTCTTGCCTCAGCCTCCTGAGTAGTGGGGATTACAGGCATGAGCCACCACGCCTGGCTAATTTTGTATTTTTAGTAGAGATGGGGTTTCTGCATGTTGGTCAGGCTGGTCTCGAACTCCCAACCTCAGGTGATCTGCCCGCCTTGGCCTCCCAAAGTGCTGGGATTACAGGCATGAGACACTGCACCTGGCCTACTCCAGTTCTTAAAATGCCTTACCCCTTGCTTGTAGCCAGTCCAAATTCTCTCACGGGATAGTGGAGAAAGCACAAAGTTTGAAGTTAGGAAACTTTCCTTCTTGTCTCTTTCAATACCACCGTGTTGTGTGACATGGGGCAATTGTGTCAATTACTCTTCTGGAACTCAATTTCTTTACCTATATGATAATGGGGGAAAACAAAAGGGTTGTAAGTTCTTTCTCAACTAAAACAATATTATGGCTTCTTTACCTTTCAGCACAGCTTTTGTCATTAATTCAACAAACAGTTCTTGAGTGCTTTTTATGAGCAATAAACACCTGCTCTATGAAGCCAGCCTTAACACCCACTACCCCATTCCCAGCAGCTGCACTTGCTGACTCAAGTGCGCTGATTGTCTGTGCCACTCATTATTTATGTTATTTTTATGCCATAGCATCTTAAATATAGCATTAGCTTCTTATCAGCAGGGACTTATGCTTCTGCATATCCTTGACAGATAAAGTTGTCAGGCTTTGAAAAGTATAACCTGAGAAACTTGCTAAAAAAAATGCTGATTCCTTGGGAAACTTTTCATCAAGTAAGAAATAAAGAAAAAAAAAATGTTGATTCCCAAGTCTCCCATCTACCCCCTTCTAATTCTGATTGAGTAATTGGTAATTTACATGGTAATAAATACCATTATCACCACCCCATGGTTCAGATTCAGATGGTCCAGGAACCAATTTTGAGAAAAAACTGCTCTGCAGTATATAGCACATTTTCTTGCTTACATTTAGCATGTGCTCAAAAATTATTTTTTTAAAAAACCTGTCTTAATTCCAAGGGGATAGGTATGTTTGCATTGACAAATATCTAAAACAGAAAATGGCTCATGAGAAATGGGTAACTCTAAAATAGTCTGTCCGTATATGAAAAATAATGCCCATGAAGAAAGAAAAGGGGGAAATGCATAGGAAACCGAAAAGACTGCATAAGGTAGACCAGCTGCAAATGAAAAAGTCACTGGCTGAAACCCATAACAATGGGGAAGGGAAGGCTAAATGTCAAAAATGGGCTAATGGTTCTCAAAAAGCTGTTTTGCTAAGTTCAGAGAAAGTCTTCAGACTCCCGCTCAGTGCAGATGGAGGCAAAAATAAAATCTTCAGAATCTCATTTTGTTTCATTCTTTATTCCAAGAAAAGCAACCTTAAGTAAAAAAGAACAGAGCTAACATCCTAAGGTGAGGAGTTAAAGAAAAAGAAGAAATAGTAACTCTGAGGGGATTGATATCTCCGGTGCTAGAATCATCTGTAGATTTAAGGTATGCTGTTGATAATTAAACGAGGAAATGTATAAGAGAAATATCAGGAATTTGCAAATGGTATATGTCCTGATTTTGAAAGAAGATGAAAAGTGATTTGAAAACTACAGACTTGATCTCGAGCTCTTTAAAGATTTTAGCACAGATTAATAAAAAGTTTATCAGCAATTAGAGATGAAAGAGATGAACACTTTGAGCTAGTTTAGGTATACCAAGGACAGTAATGCCAAACTACTTCTTTTCTTTTTTAAAATTAATATATCAATTATATATCACAGTTGTACATATTTTGGGGTACGTCATTATTTTGATACATATATAAAATGTGTAATGATCAAATCGGTAATTGGGATATTTATCACCTCAAACACTTTTCTTTGTGTTGGCAACATTAGAATTCTCCTTTTCTATGTATTTTGAAATCTGCAATAAATTTTTTTCTTTCAGAGCTTCAGGAGATACCTATAGAAGTTGCTATAATGACCTCAGCAAGGCATTTGACAAACTAATGGTATTCCTATGAATAAGTTTAAAAAAAAAAAATAGTTCCTTAGGTAAAATTCACACTTCGTGGACTCATGTTTTTGCCCAAACATGATTAATGCAGTGGGGCCTCTGGGGCTTTTTTGGTGATTCAACAAATATTTATTGAACATTTTACCAAGTACAAGAAACAGGTCTAGGTAGGGCAAATCCAGGAGTGAATAAATCAAAGTTTCTGCTCCCAAAGGTCTTAGTAGAGGGAGACATATAATAGATACACAAATATATTCTGTCAGATAGTGGTTAGAGAAAGAAAACAAAAAGCAGGTTAAGGGGTAAAAAAAAGTGTAATGGGGGATGTTTCTTTTACAGGCTGGTCAGAAAGGCTGATAGGATCTGGTGATACCTGGGCAAGGACCTGCTGTGTAATGAGCTTCGTAATTAACCGGGGGAACAATATTCCAGGTAGCAGGACAGCAAGCATATGGGCCCAGAGATGGAAGCATGCGTGGCTAAGAGACCATATGGTAGGCAGATAGTGGTGCCCCAAAGATGTCCATGCCCACATGCCTGGCACCTGTCAATTTGTTACATTATGTGGCAAAGAAATTGCAGACGGAAATGGCATTTCAGACCTTAAGATAAAGAGATTATCCTAGATTATCCAGGTGGGTCCAATAGAGTCACATGAGCCCTTAAAAGCAAAAAACTTTTTCTGGCTGCAGCAAGAGAGATTCAGCAGAAGGGAAAAATCAGAGAGATTCCAAACATGAGGATAGCATGCACTGTTTCTGGCTCTGAGATATGGGGACCCATGAGCAAGGATTGTCCTCTGGGAGATAAGGGTGGGCCCTAGCTGACACCAGTGACGAAACAGGGACCTCAGTCCTGCAGACTGAAGGCACTGGATTCTACCAACACAGGAAACAGCCAAGACAGTTCAGACCTCCAAACTACAGAACTGTGAGATAATAAATTTATGTTGCTTTAAGCTGCTAAGTGTGTGGCAATTTGTGGTCATTTGTTGTGGAAGTAATAGAAAACTAATACTGTGAGACTTGATTGAAATGGGAGGTGAGTATAGCAGGAGATGAAGCAAGAGAGGGAGAAAGCATGGGCTGGGGGAGGTAAGGAAATGAGGGGTCAGCTACTGTGGGGCTTAGTAGAACATTGTGAGACCTTTGTCTTTTACTGTGGGTGAAATGGGGAGCCTATGGGGGTTTGGGGCAGAGGCATGACACGATCAGCCTTACACGATAAAAGGATCACTGTGAACTACCCTGTGTAGAATGCAATTAGACAAATGTTGCCATCATTCATGCAACAGCTTGAACTAGGGAAATTACAATGGACATAGGAATGGTCAGATTCTGGATATGTTGGGTTGAACCATTTAAAACTGCTACTTGAGTGTCTCAAAAAGAATTGAAAATTAGGTTGAATCAAGAGGATTTGCTCAGGGATAGCTTATGGGGTGTTGGGGAAAGAGGGGTGTCATTGTTGACTCCAAAATTTTTGGTCCCAGCCATGGAGAAAAAAGACATAATGAGATAACAAAGAGGAGTGGCAAGTTTAGTGGGAGTTGTGGGACAAGGGCAAACAAGGGTTTATCTTGGGACATGTTATGTATGAAATGCCTATCAGCTATCCAAGTGGAGATGTCCATCACATTGTTAGATACACAAGTTTGAAGTTCAGAGGATTATCAAGAGCTGGAATGATTAATTAGGGAGTCCTCTCACACAGGCAGTACTCAAAACCATGGGGTGAGTTCAAACACAGAGGAAATGAATGTAAAGAGAGGAGTGATGCTGCCTCGGGGCTTAATTGTTTTCGAAAGTCTCTCTTACATTAAATTTTTTTTTTCTGATTTGTGAATACAAACATATCAGTAAGCACACACACCAAAATATTGTTAAAACATTTAGTTATGTATTTAATGAATTATCTGTCTATAAGATAATAAAATCGAATTAAAAAATACATCAAAGAAATAAAGGGTCCAGAATAAATAAATACTTCCAAAATAAAGAGTCATCACTTTGGCTGGGTGTAGTGGCTCACACCTGTAAATCTCAGTACTTTGAGAGGCCAAGGTGGGTGGATGGCTTGAGCCCAGGAGTTCAGGAACAGCCTGGGCAACATGGTGAAACCCCATCTCTATAAAAAAATACAAAAATTAGCTGCGCATGATGGCACATGCATGTTGTCCCAGCTACTCAGGAGGCTGAGGTGGGAGGATTGCTTGAGGTGGGTGACACAGCAAGACCCTGTCTCAAAAAAAAAGAGTCATCACTTAATTTTAGATATTCCAAATTAAACAGATTATATACTTGAGGATCCCCAGTGAAATTAGCATAAGCTACACACCCATATTGAAGGACTAGTGAATATATTCTCCCAATAGTTGTTGCTCTGAAACATTTTAGTGTCTTAGAATGGTGCACCTTTTTATATTATATTTATGTTGAACATTCAGTGAGAAGAATTATTCTCTCCTATTCGTTCTTCAGCTCCATGATAGTTCAATATTTACAAGTCTACAATTACAAACAAAAACAAAACAAAATAGAGTCACCAATCTAACAACTTCGTTCTACTCTCCTTCTATACATAATACCTCCATTGTGTTTTGGTTGTTGCTAATGATACACATCATAGTTTATTAGTTATTTCCTTCTGGAAAAAAAACCAGTTATTTGTGAGCACATCAAGCTAGGATAAAAACACTGACAAAAATGTTCTGTCATAAATCTCTTTTCATGCCCCCCTGAAATAAAGCATATACATATATGCATTATATATAGGTATAGACATGTCTTTTTGTATCACAAAAAGAGTTAGCTGTAACTTCCTACAAGGTAAAGAAAAACCTGACCTGCTGCCATTACCTCCTAAAGCAACTTTTATAAGCACATCATTACAAAATATTTTGCCAACCACATCACAAACATTATTAATATACTAACTACAGTCCAGGTTTTGAGCTCCTCCTGGGCTGGGGTGGGGTGGGAACAAGCTCTTTACGGTAACATTTTATTGGGTCATCTGCTGACAAAGCAGAATTTTAAAAGCCTACCCGTAATCACCCTAATTAAGCCATCAAGTGTCAGGACTTGCTGTGTGAATCTGATTAATTCTAGCCATCTCTGTGGTGCAACTGATGTTGCCTGTATTAAAGGAGTGACTCTGCCTCAGAGGCAATTCCTTTATGTTTATGCCTTCTCCCTTTCTACCAGTCTGTATCAGAAAATTACAAAGAAGGTTTGCAATGATGCCCTCATAAGCCTGTGAAACTTCCTTTCAGCTGGGAGCCCAACCACATACAAACCCTTTTATATACCTACACCATTATTGTCTTTATACTTTTATGCGGTATTTAATTCATAATACAACTTGTAATGTGTAAAGTAGATTGCTCACATATGTCTTAGTCTGTTTGTGCTGCTACAACAAAATACTTGGAACTGGGTAATTTATGAATAACAGAAATTTATTTCTCACAGTTCTGGAGACTGGGAAGGCCAAGATCAAGTTGCCAGCAGGTTCTATTATCTGGTGAGAGATGCGTCCTCTAGAGAAGAGGAAGGATGTGTCCTCACATGGCTGAAGGCAAGTGGGATGAAGAGCCTCCATCAAGCCCTTTTATAAAGGCACCTAATCCTGTTCATGAGAGAGGAGCCCTCATGGCCTAATTACCTTCTAAAGGTCCCATCTCTTGGTACTGTTGATAGCATCAGCAACACCTGAATTTTGCAGGGGTCACATTAATTTATAGCAGTATCTTTGACTGTATTGTGAGCAATTTATTATTTCCTTTTGATCCTTTCTAATGTGTGCACTGTTCCCAATGCTCTAGCACAAATATTTGACATGGTTATGCTGCAGATGCTCCTGAAAACAGACATCCAATCCTCCTTCCCCCGTCCCCACCCCATCCTCACTACCACACAACTGACTGAAAAGAGCAAAGAAAAATAAAAGCAAGGTAATTTGTTTTCTTAATAAAAGCATGCTTTATGTGGTTCACTAGGGGATTTATGTTTTAAAACCTATTTATCATCATGCCTGTAAGAAAATGCTATTGAATGAAGGTTGTTGTGATGGTTGATTGTATGCGTCAACTTGGCTAAGCTATGGTGCCCACATCCAGATTGCTAGATGTGAATGTGCTTAATATTTATACTCAGTTGACTTTAAGTAAAGAAGATTATCCTGAATAATGTGGGTGGATATCAATCATTTGAACATTTTAAGAGCAAAAACTGAGGTTTTTTAGAGAAGAAATTCTGCCTCAAAACCATAACATAAAAATCTTGCCAGTGGATTTTGGGTTTAAGACTATAACTTCAACTCTTGCCTGAGTTACCAGCCTGCCAGCTTGCCCTGTAGATTTCGAACTTGCTAGCTCCCACAGTTGCATGAGCCAATTGTTTAAAATAAATCTCTCCTCTCTGTCTTTTTTCTTTTAAAATTATTTATTTATTTTCTCTCTGTGCCTCCTATTGGTTCTGACTCTAGAGGACCCTGATTAATAAAGTTGTATTTCAAGCAGTTTTTTTTTTACGTTATTTCTGAACCTTTTGCTAATTGAATGCTGGCATATCTAGCTTTATTGCCCTTCACTTAACTGGAACTTGCAGATATTGCATGTTTTTTTACAAATTGAAGATTTTGGCAATCTTGTGTCAAGCAAGTGTTTAAGCATCATTTTTCCAACAGCTTGTGATCACTTTGTGTCTCTGTGTCACATTTTGGTAATTCTCACAATACTTCAAACTTTTTCAAAATTAATATATCTGTTAAGGTGATTTGTGATCAGTGATCTTTGATGTTACTATTTTGATTGTTATGAGGTGCCATGAACCACACCCATACAAGACAGTTAACTTAATAGATAAATGTTACATGTGTTCTGACTGCTCTACTGACCTTTGCCATTCCACTGTCTCTCTCTCCTTGGGCTTCTCCATTTCTGAGACACAACAACATTGAAATTAGGCCAATTAATAACCCTACAATGGCCTCCAAATGTTCAAGTGAAAAAAAGAGTCACACATCTCTCATTTTAAATCAAGAGCTAGAGATGATTAAGTTTAGCGTGGATGGCAAAAGTCAGTCGAGACAGGCTGAAAGGTAGGGCTCTTGTGCCAACTCGTCAGCCAAGTTGTGAATACAAAAGAAAAGTTCTTGAAGGAAATTAAAAGTGCTGCTCCAGGGAATACATGAATGATAAGATAGCATGATATTGCTGATATGGAGAAAGTTTTAGTCTCTGGATGGAAGATCAAACCAGCCACAACATTCCCTTATGCCAAAGCCTAATCCAGAGCAAGCCCCTAACTCTCTTCAATTCTACCAAGGCTGAGAGAGGTGAGGCAGTTGCAGATGAAAAGTTGGAAGCTATCAGAGGTTGGTCCATGAGGTTTATGGAAAAAAGCCATCTCCATAACATAAAAGTGCAAGGCGAAGCAGTAAATGCTGATAGAGAAACTGAAGCAATTTATCCAGAAGATCTAGCTAAGAACATGGTTGAAGGTGACTACACTAAACAGCAGATTTTCAATGGAGACAAAGCAACCTTATAATGGAAGCAGACGCCATCTAGGCCTTCATAACTGGAGAGAAGTCAATGCCTCACTTCAGATCTTCAAAGTATAGCCTGAATCTCTCTCTTTTTTTTTTTTTTGAAACAGAGCCTTGCTCTGATGCCCAGGCTGCCAGACTGGAGTACAATGGCACCATCTTGGCTCACTGAAACCTCTGCCTCCCAGGCTCAAGCGATTCTCCTGCCTCAGCCCCCTGTGTAGCTGGGATTACAGGCATGCATCACCATGCCCAGCTAAATTTTGTATTTTAATTTTGTATTTTGTATTTTTAGTAGAGACAGGGTTTTGCCATGTTAGCCATGAACTCCTGTTGGTCTTGAACTCCTGGTCTTGAACTCCTTGAACGCCATGTGGGTCTTGAACTCCTGGTTTTACATGATCCACCCACCTCAACTTTCCAAAGTGTTGGGATTACAGGCTTGAGGCATTGCGCCCAGCCTGGCTAACTCTCTTAATAGGGGATAATGCAGCTGGTGACTTTAAGTTGAAGTCAGTGGTCATTTACCATTCTGAAAACCCTAGGGCCCTTAAGAATTATGCCAAATCTTCTCTGCTTATGTTCTAGAAATAAAACAACAAAGCCTAGATGACAGCACATCTGTTTACAGCATGGTTTACTGAATATTGTAAGCCTACTTAAGTGACTTATTGCTCAGAAAAAAATATTCCTCTTAAAATATTACTGCTCATTGACAATTTACCTAGTCACCCAAGAGCTCTGATGGATATCTACAAGGAGATTAGTGTTGTTTCATGCCCTCTAACACAACATCTATTGTGCAGCCCATGGATCAAGGGATAAGTTAGAATTTCAAGTCTTATTATTTAAGAAATACATTCATGGCCAGGAGTGGTGGCTCATGCTTGTAATCCTAGCACTTTGTGAGGCCAAGGCGGGTGGATCATGAAGTCAGGAGTTTGAGACCAGCCTGGCTAACATGGTGAAACCCTGTCTCTTCTAAAAATACAAAAATTAGCCGGGCGTGGTGGTGCATGCCTGTAATCCCAGCTACTTGGGAGGCTGAGGCCAGAGAATTGCTTTAACCAGGAGGCAAAGGTTGCAGTGAGCCAAGATTGTGTCATTGCACTCCAGCCTGGGCGACAGAGCAAGATTCCATCCCCGCCTCCAAAAAAAAAGAAAAGAAAAAGAAATATATTTATAAGGCTATAGCTGCCATAGGTAGTGATTTCTCTGATGGCTCTGAGCGAAGTAAATTGAAAACCTAGGGAAAGGATTTACTATTGTAGATGCCATTAGAAACATTCGCAATTCACAGGAGAAAGGTAAAATATCAACATTAATAGAAGTTTGGAAGAAGCCGATTCCAACTATCATGAATGACTTTGAGGGATTCAAGAATTCAGTGGAGGAAGTAACTGCAGATGGGGTAGAAATAGCAAGAGAATTAGAATTAGAAGTGGACCCTGAAGATGTGGCTGAATTGCTGTAATTTAATGATAAAATTTGAATGAATGAGGAGTGTCTCCTGTTGCCCAGGCTGAAGTGCAGTGCTGCGATCAAGGCTTACTGCAGCCTTTAACTCCTTGGACTCAAGCAATCCCTCCCAAGTTGCTAGGATTACAGGTGTGAGCCACGGTGCCTGGCTACAAAATGGTGTTTTGAGATAAAATCTACTCTTAGTGAAGATGCTACGAACATTGTTGAAATGACAACATAGAATTTAGAATATTACATAAACTTAGTGATAAAGCAGCAGCAGGGTTTGAGAAGATGGACTTGCATTTTGAAAGAAGTTCTACGGTGAGTAAAATGCTACCAAACAACATCACAAGCTACCAGAGAAATCTTTCATGAAAAGGAGAGTCAATCAATGGAGCAAACTTTATTACTGTCTTATTTTTTTTAATTGCCACAGCCACCCCGACCTTCATCACCCGCCACACTGATCAGTTAGCAGTCACCAGCATCGAGGCAAGACCTCAACCAGCAGAGAGATTAGGACTCCCTGAAGGCTCAGATGATCATTAGCATTTTTGGCAATAAAATATTTTTTAATTAAGTACTTTTTAGACACAATGCTACTGCACACTTAATAGACTACAAATAGTGTAAACATAACTTTAATAGGCACAGGAAATCAAAAAGTGTGTGACTTGCATTATTGCAATATTCACTTAATTGTGGTGGTTTGGAACTGAACTCGCAATATCTCCGAGGTATGCCGGAATACCTATATTCTTATTATATTCTTAATTTTGTTGCACTAAAATAAAGATAGGAGTTGTGCTCGCTTCGGCAGCACATATACTAAAATAAAGATAGGAGTTTATGCATTACTCACTAATAAAAGTCAGTTTCTCTGCTGGCATGGAGAATAGGAGAGTATTGCCAAACAACAACAACAACAACAACAATAATGGCACCTCTCCTGCCAAGCTGGGAAATTTTACTCCAGGGATTTCCAATATGAAGTTCTACCTAAGCATAGAGTGTCTGGCCCACTTGAGTGTCATAACTTATACATCACCCTAACCTAGTTCACATAAATCCTAACCAATTACCAAACAATAATATGAAAAGTTTGATCAAAGCATTTTCTTCTGAAAAAGATGAGCCAAGTTTGAGGCCTCTTTGAGGTAGGGAGGAAAGTTTCCACAGTTAATGCAACTCAAAATAGGAGGTTGGTGTGCCCAGTTTCCATTGCCTCATTCATCAAGAGAGTTTGTGTTTTGACTTTTGGAAGTCAGTTTTATGGCATGATGTAACGGAGAAAATAATGAAGATTGCAAATTTTCTTTATGCTTATACTTTAATCACTGCTGCTTTATGGATATTTAAGAAGCTAATGCAAGAGAAGTAGATTTAGTCTTTTTTAATTTAGTTACATGGCTAAGTTCTGGAAATTTTTGAAGAAATGTGTTGAAGTGTTCTTAAAATTATAGTCTCAGATCTTACTTGCTGGACCTCCAAAGGCCCCAGAAGGCTGCACACACTTTTCCTTGATGTTACATAGCATAATGTAACATATGCTATGTAACGTAACATCCTCTATGTTACATACCAGTTTCTCTACATAGCTAATGCAACTAACATAACACAAAATCCTCCATGTCCATTATAAAAGTGACTGTTTTGGCAGATCATGAGGTCAGGAGATCGAGACCATCCTAGGTAACACAGTGAAACCTTGTCTCTACTAAAAACACAAAAAATTAGCCGTGCATGGTGGTGGGCACCTGTAGTCCCAGCTACTCAGGAGGCTGAGGCAGGAGAATGGCGTGAACCTGGCAGGCGGAGCTTGCAGTGAGCCGAGATTGCACCACTGCACTCCAGCCTGGGCAACAGAGAAAGACTCTGTCTCAAAAAAAAAAAAAAAAAAGACTTTTGTATTCAGATTCAAACTTGACAAGTGAATTGAGAAGATGGTACCCAAGACTGTTTTTTTTTCCTTCTTTTCTTTTTTAGATAGTGTCTTGCTCTGTTGCTCAGGCTGGAGTGCAGAGCACGATGATCTCAGTTCACTGCAACCTCCACCTCCCAGGTTCAAGCCATTCTCCTGCCTCAGCCTCCTGAGCAGCTGGGATTACAGGAGCATGCCACCACACCTGGCTAATTTTTGTATTTTTAGTAGAGATGGGGTTTCACCATGTTGGCCAGGCTGGTCTCAAACTCCTGACCTCAGGTGATCCACCTGCCTCAGCCTCCCAAAGTTCTGGGATTACAGGCGTGAGCCACCACGACCCGCCGACTGTTTTGCTTTTAATGCTGAACTCTTGAGTTCAAAGGATTTTAAAGACTCACATATTTAGTGAAAATAAGTCCTAATTTTGAAAGCTATTTCACAGATTTTGTTGATTCTAAGTTGCATTCTCTGCAACTCTGAGACACAACCACAGGATGTGTGTGATGATTCCTGTGATTATAAAGCCCTAGACATATTAGAGTGGCTCATTTTCATAAGAAACCACTTGTGCTAAAAGCAAACTACACCATTAACACACAATAGAAGTGAATATCTTAAAGTTAGCTGTGAAATGGAAATACATATTAATGAGTATAGTAGTTCCCTCTTATCCCTGGTTTCATTTTCACCAGTTTTAGTTACCAGTGGTACAGTACAATAAGATATTTTGAGAGAGAGCGAGCATACATTCACATAACTTTTATTACAGTGTACTATAATAATTGTTCTGTTATTATAATTATTGTTAATCTCTTACTGTTCCTAATTTATAAATTATACATAGGGTTTGGTACCATGTGCAGTTTCAGACATCCACTGGGGATCCTGGAACATATCCTACCGTGGATAAGGGGGAACTACTGTAATTATTTACATCAGCTCTGCTCCTGTCTTATTCCAGGATGCTATAACAGAATACTATAGACTGTGTGGCTTAAACAACAGAAATTTCTCACAGTTTGGAGGTAGGGAAGTTAAAGATCAAGGTACCAGCAGATCCAGTGTCTGGTGAAGGTATGCTTTCTGGTTTGCTGTCTTCTCCCTATATCCTCACTTGGCAAGAGAGCAGACAGAGTGATCATCTCTCTCATGTTTCCACTTACAAGGGCACTAATTCCATTCATGAAGGTTCCACCCTCATGACCTAAGTGTCTCCCAAAGGCCCCACCTCCAAATACCATCACATTGGGGATTTAGTCTCCAACATACGAATATTGCGAGGGACACAAACATTTAGTTTATAGCAGCTCTCCTCTTTCAGTCCCATAAAGAGGAGGGCTCTGCCTTGCCATACCAATTCATTTGTGATTTTGTGATTCCAACTCACAAGGAAAGAGAGCTGGGGCAAAGCATCTGAAGCACACAAGAGTAGGGCAAGTTTTGAAAGAGACATAAAAACAAATACTGTGTGTGCAAGGGAAGTGGATGAGAGAAAAAGTGTTTAAGAGACATTGTTTGCTATGTGTCTATTTCACAGTGTTCAGCTATGAGAATTTTTTTTTCTTTTTTTAGACAGAGTCTTGCTCTGTCACCCAGGCTGGAGTGCCATGATGTTATCATAGCTCACTGCAGCCTCAATTTCCTGGGCTCAGGTGATCCTCTCACCCCAGCCTTCAGAGTATCTGAGACTACAGCTGCATGCAACCACACCTGGCTAATTTGTGTATTTTTTGTAGAGATTGGGTTTCATGATGTTGGCCAGGTTGGTCTTGAACTCCTGGAGTCAAATGATCCTCTCTCCTTGACCTCCCAAAGTACTGGATTACAGGCATGAGCTACAGTGCCCAGCCTGAGAATTTTTTAAAAGTCATTTTGAAATTGGGTTTCAGGTTCTTGCCTGTATTTTTTGAATATGGTACTGCTCTAAGACTGGAAAATGTGGACCACAGATTTATAAATACTACACAAAATACTAATCCTAAACTATAGAAATTTCTGGACAAATTTTGAGTAATGTGGGTGGTTACCTAGCTATTTTATGAAACTGCAGAATTAAAGGCCTTTATCTGTAAAAATAACCTCATCAGATTGTTATGATTTTAAAATAAAAACACCTTCACACCTCCTAGAAGACTCCAAGGTGTAAATATCCTCTTTAAATGTACCAGTAAGTAGACTAAGTCCTAGAAGAGTATAATTTTTTTTTTTTACAAATAAAGTTTATTGTACTGTTTGGGGGATGGTATATTTATTACTGCTAAAAAAATTACCATTTTGAATTGCTAATTGGCTATAACAAAGATCAGTAATACAAATTTAAAACATTCATAAAACTGAGCTGAAAACATGCTCCCAAGCCTAGTGGGCAGTAAGGAATCTGGCCAATATACTGTACAACTTGAACATTCAGTTCTTAAGTAGTTTACAACATGGTTTAGCCCTCTTTTAATAATAATAATAAAAAGGTAGGAATATCTTGTATTCCTCCCGCTAGTTGGATGTATTAAAGTGCTTTCACAAAACTAAGACCATGGTGTTAACTCAATATAAAAGGTTGAAAAGATGTTCCTTCTTTTCTTCAGAAAGTTAATGTTCCCTCTCCATATTTGTATTTGCTCAAAGATGAAGCTTTGCATCTGGGAAGTCCTTGAGTAGAGTGTCTCAGAAATAGAAAGCCTGGACTCTCAAGGCTTCATTCCTTTGGCCAACATCTTTGGAGCCTCTCCTTTATGCAAAACACAGTGGCCGGTGCCAGGGCAGCACACAAGCGTCCACAGGAGGCAGGCCCTGCTGTGAGGGGCCAGGGAAGGGCCCAACTAGGAGTGCCAACAACCGCCTAAAATACAGCAGGGCGGCTGCACGGTTAACGTGCGTGTAATTGACTACAGCAAGAAGGATGAGGATCTGTCCATAAATGCCAAGTTCCCCTTCCCGTCGAGTCCGTGTCCCCCATGAAGCCCCGGGTCTAGAGAGCTGGGTCTAGAACTCGCCATTCCGCCCTGAGGGTGTCAAGTGCAGCGTGGAGAGACCTGAGGGGGAAACAAAAAGGCCGAGACAGCCGAAAGGACCAAGCCCGCGCGACCCCCGAAGGCGCTGACGCACGTAGGGCGGCCGGGCGGGGGTCCCACAGGCCTTCAGCGCCGCTTTTTGCCGGGGAGGGAAGCCCGCGGTTCTGCGGACCGCGCCGTCGCGGTCGAGGGTCTGCGCCAGGCTCAGGGTAGGGCGAGGGTGTGTCGCCTCCCGTGCGGCTAGGCCCGGGGCTCGGGGGTGGCCTCGCGGCGAAGCCCCGCCCCCGGCACCGCCCCTCAGGCGCGCGAGCCGATCCCGCGCGCGCCAACCCTTTCCCGGGTCATCGCCCCTCCCCTCTTCCGGGCCGCGAGCCCCCTGCGCGCCGCTTTGGGGCTGCGCTCACTCGTGTGCGCGCTCGTCCGCCCGCCAGTCCTCTCAACGCGCGCTTGGCCGCCCGACGACGCGGGAGCCGCACGCGCCGGACGAGGCTCGCTGCGCTCCCTGTTGCCCAGCGCGGGCCCGTTGAGGCGGAGCCCTCAGTTCCCGGCCAGGACACGGTCTGGGCCGCCGAATCTCCGGCCGAAGAGCGGCGGCGGCAGCGGCGGTGAGGAGACCGGGCCGGGGAAAGGCAGACATGGCGGGGCTGTGGGTATCGGGGGAGGGTGGTCCCGTCGCCCCTGCGGCCACGTCGAAGGCTCGCTGGCGGGCGGCGCACCGGGGACAGGGGAGGGGCAGGGGATGGAACCAGGTTGCATGGGCTCCGGCTCGGCGCCAGAGCGGGGCTGCGGGCCGCGAGGGCGGCCCGCGAGGCTTTCCGCGGGACCCTCGGCGGGCGCCTGAGGAAAAAGACGCCGCCTCAGGGCTCCTGCCACGT
The DNA here is from genome assembly GCF_000001405.40 of Homo sapiens. Lineage (NCBI taxonomy): Eukaryota > Metazoa > Chordata > Mammalia > Primates > Hominidae > Homo > Homo sapiens. Next base: position 8,734 of record NT_187627.1, on the reverse strand, counting down.
TTCCCACAGCGCGTTACATTCCGCCTCCGGGTGGGCGACAACCCCGCGGCTTCCCACCCTCTGTCCACCCCCTTCGCGTCGGTGTTTTTTCTGGAGCTCCGCTTGTTTGCTGGAGAGTCGCGCCTCCGGGAAGCCGGGTCCTCGAACCCAGGGCCGCCCGCCGGGGACAGCGGACCCGCGGGGCAGGCGCACCCTGGCGAGGATGTTGTCGGGGAGGCTGGGCATTGGGCGCCAGGGCCCTTCCCCTTGAACTTGGGGAAAACCGGGATTGCAGAAGTTGGGCGCAGCTCAAGGCGGTTCTTTCAAGAGCGGGTGGAGATGTTTGATCCCTCCTCACCTACCTCTCTCAAAACCCCAGCGGGAGAGCCTAGCAGCAGGTTTCGATGGCTTCAGAAAGTCCAACTCTTAGCCCCTTGGAAAATTATTTCCCCTCTTCATGGCTTTGTGGCGCCGCTGAGGTCGGGCCGGGGCTCCTCACCCCACGGGCCAGTCTTCTCGCGCCCTCCACCTTGGGAACGTCTATCAGGAGAAAAATGTGTTCCTAGAAACGTTTGCGATTAGCTTTTCGTTACAAGGGAGGGAAAAGTACAAAAGTTATAAACTCCTGCGAGGCCGAGCTTGATTCTGGATTCCCTTTGGGTTTTATCCACGCAGCCGTGAGCAGAGGAGCCTTGTGGAACAAAGTAGAACTTGAGGAGCAGCCGCCGCGGTGACGAGGTCCCAGGATGACGTCACCGTGCGATATTTAAAATGGGAGCCTTTTGCTCTGAGTGTGGGTGGAGGACGCCTACTTACTCAAGACGCCTGAGGTCTTCTTGGCCCTGCTTGCCTCTGGTGGTTCTTGCCCTGACTGTAACTCTCCCTCTTTCACCTTTTGGTACTCCTAGAATACTGGTGGGAGTGGGCTTATTTTTCAGCTGTTCGAGCTATCATTTCTTCAAACGGGGAAAACAAAAGTCCAAATGAGTCATCTTGTGTTACAACCAAAAGCAACCACTAAGTGGTTCTTTCCTTCTTTTCTATTTTTTTATATGAAGCAGAGCAAACAGAAACAAATCCAGAACTCAGATATGTGGCACATAGTTGGCAAATGTAATGAATGAGGAGAAAGATCTAGTTAAAAGATTCAGTACATTTCTTTAGTGTGGTTCCTTGTTTGCTTTGCTGGAGTGGAGGCTAATGTAGTTCCATCAGCAAAACTTTCTTCCCAACCCGTATATTAAATTGCCTTGGGTTTTCTTTTCCATCGTATCGTGGTGGAATATAAACGTAGCTTTACAAAGTGGAAATGGCTTACATTTTTCAGGAGGAGGCTGCACAGCAGTCGTGGTGGGCTGGGGTTATGTATACGTGTACACTCGTGTGTGGACCCATGCCCGGTGCCTGCTAGCTGGCTGTAGAAGGTGAATTTCTCATTCTAGGGTTCTGGGAGGAAGATTTGTGTGCCTTCCCCTCCATCAGGCTATCTGCGGCTGCCAGCACACCTCTCAGATAACTGTGTAGAATTTATTTCACAGTGAGGTTCCTTGTTTGAATTTGCACTTGGAATAAAGGAGTCATATTCTGAAGAGAGACTGAAAGAGCAGTTTGAGAAAAGAAAGCTAACAATCAGCTTTATTTTTTTGGAAATGTGGGAACACAAACTACTGCTAGGTTAGTTGTTTTTATGCTAAACATAGCAGAGGCTGTATGTTTTTAATACGTAATTGGCTCCCAAAAAGGTGATGTTGCTTACTAAAGGCAGCATCTTAATAACTCCAGGTTACAGCAGCCAGATGAATGAGCTCACTGAGTAGAGACAACATACATCAAAACAATCTTAGGACAAGGGTTTGCCCTTAAGGATTAATCAATGATAAATCAGATATACCATTTTTAAAGTCCTTTGAGGCAATCCAAAATGTAGCTAAATCTCTGATTATTTCTTTTAGTTTGTTTTTCTGCGGGTGACCTGAATTTCCATTTCTTAAATATGTCCTGATAGATCCACTAGTTTTTGTGTCTCTTAACTTGTGGATAAATGTATCTCTCTTCCTGAAAGAGTACTTTCGGAAAGTCAATGCTGAAATTTTTTATGTAGAACAGTTTTGGGATTTAATTTATATACCATGCAATTCACCCATTTAAAATGTACAGTTCAATGGTTTTAGTATATTCACAAAGTTGTACAACCATTACTATAGTGAAATTTAGTAAATATTTTTATCACCTCAAAAAGTAACCCTGTACTTATTAGCAATGCTCCTTTTCTTGGTTTCCCACTTCCCCGTAGGCCACTAATCTGTCTTCTGTCTATATAGATTTGCTTATTCTGGATATTTCATATCAATGGAATCGTACAATATGTGGTCATTTGTGACTGGCTTCTTTCCCTTAGTGTGATGTATTCAAGGTTCACCCATGTTGTAGCTTATATTAGTACTCATTCGTTTTAACTGCTGAATAATATTCCATTACATGTATATACCACAGTATTTGTCCATTCCTTAATTGGTAAACATATAGATTGTTTTTACTTTTTAGCTATTATGAATACTGCTGTGGGCATTTCTGTGTTCAAGGTTCACCCATATTGTAGCTTGTATTAGTACTCATTCCTTTTCATTGCTGAATAATATTCCATACGTGTGTATAACACAGTATTTGTCCATTCTTTAGTTGGTAAACATATTGTTTTCACTTTTTAGCTATTATGAATACTGCTATGGGCATTTCTGTACAAGGTTTTGGTGTGGACATATGTTTTCATTTCTCTTGGGCAAATAGAAGTAGAATTGGCCGTGTCATATGATAACTCTGTGTTTAACCTTTCTAGGAACTGCCGAACTTTTCTGTTATAAAATAGCTCTACAGTTCTAGATTTTAAAGTAGACTTTTTTTATGTTTTAAAGTTCAAATCATTTCACAGAATTTTAAACTTAGATTATTGCAGCTAAATATTGACACACACAGTAACATCTATGTCGTATCATTTATTATAGTGCTTCTCTTTTACTGATAGGTGTGGTTTTATTTTAGCCAACAGGAGCAACGTGCTATCTTTATGGAATTTCTTCATGAAGCTAAGTGATAAGATTTTTAAGTAGTATTTTATAATAAGGCCTTTATGGCATAAAGATAAGTAGATTGTTCTCTACTTCAGATATAAGCCAAAGAAATACAAGATAAAATTGGAAGGAGGAAGGGGAGAGCTGTAAAGGAGGTATATCTTACAGAGCTTCATCTTCCCAGTTTTTATATTTTGTTTTTCTGAGAAAACATGTTTTATCTTTGCAGGGAAAAAAATGAAGAATGAAATTGCTGCCGTTGTCTTCTTTTTCACAAGGCTAGTTCGAAAACATGATAAGTTGAAAAAAGAGGCAGTTGAGAGGTTTGCTGAGAAATTGACCCTAATACTTCAAGAAAAATATAAAAATCACTGGTATCCAGAAAAACCATCGAAAGGACAGGCCTACAGGTAAAGGATTAGATTGGATTAAGCAGAGGCTGATCAACCCCTGAGGTGGGTTCAAGGCCGGATGATTGAAGGGTGTGCAGACCATGCCTACAGGTGTTTCATCTGCAAAATATAGAACTCTGGGGTGTTTGTATATTTTCTCCTTACTCATTTTAAAACAAGTATTTGTTGGCGGAGTGGTGGAGTCCCACTGCCTGGACACAGGAGGCCAATGCTATGGGGTCAAAGGAGTTAGTCTTTTGTGGTTATAGCCTGGCTCCTAACAGTGCATTTCTGTTTATCACAAATACTTAGGGATTTTCACAATTCTAGAGGACCCCTAATAACACATTAATGGGCATGGTAGGAGTTGAAAGAAGTGAATCTTGCATCTAAAAGTAAATTACATGTTATATGTTCTTTGAAAAAAAAAAAAGTATGGAAAAAGGGAACTAAGATTATCAGACACCTGATATGTCGTTAATACAAGAATAATCTCATTTATATATTTGTGGTAGAAGTCAGTGTAACTATTTTCTAGATGAATGTGACTCACCTGTGATCCACGACTAGTAAATAATGGCTCTGGGATTTGCTTTTCTGGGAGTTTTTTTTTTTTGTGGTATTGTTTTTGCTCTGTCACCCAGTCTAGAGTGCAGTGGTATAACCATAGCTCACTGCAGCCTCAAACTCCTGGGCTCAAGCAATCCTACTGCCTCAGACTCCAAAGTAGCTAGGATTATAGACATGTGCCAACACACCAGGCTAATTTAAAAACAAATTTTTTTTTGTATAGATGGGATCTTGCTGTGTTACCCAGGTGAGTTTCAAACTCCTGGCCTCACGCGATCTTCTCCCTTTGCCTCCCAGAATGTGAGGATTACAGGCGTGAGCCACCATGCCTGGCCAAGGTTCTGGGATTTGAACTCAGGTCTACATGACCCCATGTTTTCATGGGCTTTCTGCACACCACAGTGTTACCACTGTTTTGGCACTGAGAACGAAGGTAATTCTCACTTGGAGCTGTCTTTTGTACTCTGCTGTATAAGGTACATTTACAGCTTAAAGTAAAGAAGAGCAGACTCCTATAAAACATGCCCTGGCATGCTCACTGTAGTATTTATGTGACTGCTCAGGAACCTCAGTTGAGAATGTTCTGCTAAACTCAGCTGCCAAACATTGTCCCATTTTGTGGATGTGGCCACGAGAAATAAAAGTGGAACAGTGACTATAGTGATAACTACAGAAATACTCTTTTATTTGTGTATATTGATGTCCCCAAAGTTTCCTACACAAATCAACACTTTGTGCTTTGATGTCAGAAGGACTTCCTTTCTGCCACTGGGCTCTTGCAAGTACAGCACTATTCAAGGAGTCTAAAAAGGAGGTAAACATATTATTTGCTAATTTCTCATGTACTGAAAGTCAAGTGAGCTTGTGTTCTATTGACAAGAAGAGAATCAAAATAGTTTATTTTCCTTTTCATTTTTAATCCAAAGAGGTTTCCAGTAAATTGGAAAATGAATTAAAATAGAAATGTGCACGCTAACACAGGCTCAAGTCATTTTTTATCTTATCTCTTGATTATCTTAATTTTTTTTTTGCATATTTTCATTTCCAATAGAGTGAACAGCTTTCGTTAAGTTAGAACTGTTGAGGCTTTTTACTCTGATTTAACTGACATTGGATGAAGGCTTTTTGGAAGTGCCAAGCCACCATACTATTACTGAAAAAGGAGGCACTGTCAAGTAAATATTTAAAGGTCAGACAGTGTACAATTTCATTTCCATTAATTCTAAAAACTTGAGAAAAAAACTGAAACGATTAAATTGGCATGTGATCAGAAGTATCATTACTGAGTCATTTTAAAGCTGTATTTGAAGTAGAAAAAATAGTGGGTTGTTACTATTATAAAAATGAATAGAATATAAGATTAACCAAGTTAGTAGAGACTTCAGTCTGTAGAATAGGTGGAGTGTTCTTTCTCTTACAAAATGTTTGTAAGTTGAAATTGTTTTTCTGCAATATAAATAAGATACTTGTAGAGAGCAATTTGGCAATATTATCAAGATCTATAAAAATATTCATACCTTTTGAACAGTAAGTCTCCCAAGAATCTATTCTAGAAGTATAATTAGAAATGCAGACGAACATGTATGAATATGGATGTCTCTTACACTTTGTAATTGCAAAAATGGAAAGAACTAAACTGTCAACATTAAGTAAATGATAGAATATTTTTATGCAACTTTTAAAATTTTGTTTTTGAAGAGTAGTTAATGGATAAGTAGTATGTAGAGTGAAAAAAAATAGTACAAAACATGTAAGGTATGCAGATTTTGTTGAAGCATAGTCTCTGTTTAAGCATCTATATTTATATATAATTTGTAAGCTTAGAGCCTGTATCACCTTAATTGTAGATAAGAAAAACACATACATCTAAGATATATCTTTTTATCCTTAACTGCTTTTGGTCCCAGAGCACATGGGATCTTTCAAATTACCCTATACAATATTAGAATCTATAGCATAAGACCATGTTTTTAAAAGGACTAAGCAGTATTTTACATACTAGAAAATAATTTTTCTCACTTTGCCTTTGTTATATTGTTAATGGTGACGCTAAGATAGGTACGTATATACAGGGTTGAGTATTAAGGAAATAACTTGCTCTTTGGAGTCTAGTGGCCTGGATTTGAACCCTAGATCCATCACTTAGTAGCTGTGTAATGTTGGGAAGTTACTCAAACTCTCTCTGCCTCCTTTTTTCTTTATGCTGAGGAAAAAAGTATCTAACTCACAGGATGATCATGAGAATTAAGAGTTAATACATGCAAAGCATTTAGGAAATTGTCCATTGCATAATAAATTTTTTAAAATGCTTATTATTGTTAATATTATTATGTAGAAACACTTATTCCTATTACCTGTTGAGAACTTTTTCATTTTTTAAATAGAAATTAAAACCAACTAATAATTTAACTTTTACAAAAACTTTAAATAGCACATTAGTCTTTATATCATTGTATTTTACAGCGTAATTACTATTCATCAATTAACTTGTATTTCCATGTTTTATAGTTACAGGTCTGAGGAAGAGGTACAGTGACTTAACTAGGCTTACCTGATAAATACTAGGATTAGTGCTGAAATCCAAGTTCTCTTGATTGATTCTTGATTGTAGGCAGTAAATACTTTTCCTTCATAGGCCCTATTTCCCTACTTAATCAGAATGCTTATCATTTAACAGAATGCATATTTTTTATTTATTAAACATTCCATTAGGTAGATGTCGTATAATAGGTTAAAAAAAGATGGGACAGAGGCTTTATTGGTTTAGAAATTTTCCTCACTTAATTTTGACAACTATTTAAATAAAAGTGCTTGGGTAAATAGAAGTTAAATGAAATAAGCCAATAACATGTTAGTTAGGTATTTTAATCATAAGTATATGATATGAATGAATCTGTGTCCTTCACTTATCCTGTATTTATAGAACAATTATAGGTAAAGCAAGGGTGTCCTCTTACCACTTTACTATCTGAGATATAAAAGCAAGTTAATGACAGATCAGAATTTGTCGTAAGCATTTCCAAATACCATCTGAAACATTAGATGAGGCCTTTTGTTAGAGATTTTTTTGTATAGGAACTTGGCCTATAGAAACTTTTACCTTCAGAGTTCTAAAATTTCGTGCAACTTTCATACTCCGTGCTCATTTAATGTACATGGGTGGTCAAGTCTCTGGGTAGACTGAGGTAGACCCAGTACTAGTGATTTCCTTGGGCTCACATAGGTGCCATCTTTTTTTCAGGCTGCCTCTGTGCCTGTAGTTCACATTTATTATCTGTTTAGGATAGATATGCTCCTAGGTTCTCTACCAGGGTATTTTTTTATTACTATTTTATTACTCACCTTGGCAAGTATGAATAGATATTACGGCGTTTATGATTAAATTCATTTAAATCCATTAACGTAACTCCACTTTGTTGTAGATGTATTCGTGTCAATAAATTTCAGAGAGTTGATCCTGATGTCCTGAAAGCCTGTGAAAACAGCTGCATCTTGTATAGTGACCTGGGCTTGCCAAAGGAGCTCACTCTCTGGGTGGACCCATGTGAGGTGTGCTGTCGGTGAGTTCTCAAGTTTAGAGGCTGAACTGATGACCATGCTGGAACTAATTTTATGACATTCTGTCATGTACGGCCTGCCTGTGTATCTTTATGGCCAGGAGCTGGTGGTTTAACTCTCTCAGATGTAAATTTTATGAAATACTTTTCTGGAGGTGATGTTGAAGGACTAGTTAGATTTCTGCTTTATAGCCGAAAAAAGAAACTGATTAGGCGGGGGTTTTCTAGTAGTGCTTTGCCAAGAAGCTTATTGTAGACCAAGAAGTAGACACCTAGATTCCGCTAGGTGTCTATTATCTTTAATTGGTGGTGCACTTGTCTGTCTTCAAATTAAGAAGCTAATCCCAAATAATACTGGATAACCACTTTTGGTTTGTTTCTGTTTCTGTTTATTCTCCCTCTCTCCTCTTTTTTTTTGGGACGGAGTTTCACTCTTGTTGCCCAGGCTGGAGCGCAATGGTGCATTCTTGGCTGTCTGCAACCTCTGCCTGCCGGGTTCAAGTGATTCTCCTGCCTCAGCCTCCTGAGTAGCTGGAATTACAGGCGCCCACCACTGTGCCCGGCTAATTTTTTTTTATATTTGTAGTAGAGATGGGGTTTCACCATGTTGGCCAGACTGCTCTCAAACTCCTGACCTCGTGATCCGCCCGCCTTGGCCTCCCAAAGCGCTGGATTACAGGCGTGAGCCACTGCGCCCGGCCTCCTCCTTTTTGATTATGTAAGTGACTGAGTGATACTTCGTGGTTTTATTTTTATAATGGAAGTTATTTTTCACATCTCCTAATGAATAGAGTTGTGAAAGATCAGTGCTAGGTATGAAATCTTTTTGAACTCCACTTGCTCAAAAACCATTATTTGTGGACCAGGCACTCTCAGTTGTAGGGTTTTCAAAAACGAAAGCAACATTCTGCTTTTAGGTAATTCAGTTTGAAATTGAGAAGAAAAGTAAGCAAATTACATTGTTATCTGATTTATGTTAGAAATGTGTACAAAATGCAGTGGTAGGTTGCACAAAGTAGAAAGTTACTGCATCTGGTGAGGAGTCAGGAGACTACTGAGTAGGTGATACTTGAGCTGGGAGGTGAAGGATGAGCCATGGTTGACCAGGTGACAAGGTGGGAAGGATGTTCTAACTAGCAGGAAGAAGATGAACAGAGGCATGGAATTC
>NW_003315967.2:0-63917 GCF_000001405.40 Homo sapiens | reverse complement strand
TGGGAAAAATAAGATACAGCACCTGTTCTCAAGGAATTAAGAGTTCAGTGTGGTCCTTTGGCATATGTATAAATAAATACATCCCTATGAAATGTGATATACTACAGTAGTAATGTATACAAGTGGTGTGGAAGCAGCAATCACAAATAAATTATTTCAGAACCAAATGATCTGGAAATTCAAGACTTTTGGCTACTTTGCTTACCAGCATCAGCAATCAAGTCCTGTATATATGAGCTTGAGAATAATTAAATTATTATTTAATTTATATTAATAAATTTATAATAATAAATAAATTAAATTATTTAATTAATAATTAAATGCCTAGGCATTTGCAATAGGAGAAGAATTTAACAATACATTGGAAATGTTTTGTATTCCTTATTCTTGTGGCCAGATATTTAGGACATTCATAGTGAAAATTATATTCAAGGTTAGAGTAGACAAGATTCAATATCTTCAGATTCTGGATTATAGAATTAATAAATTATAGTCATTTTTCTCCTGGCTTCAAAAGCAACTACTTGTACAGTAAAGGTTACTTAATTAAAATTTATCCAACTGAAACACCCATTTCTCTGAAACAAATGTTTGTGCAATTGACATCAACCAACTCTTCACATGAGTAGGTAAGAATAAACAGTGGAATGATGCCCAATGAATATCAATTAAAACAAATTGCTCCTAATAAACTTTGCACAGGCCCATGTTCACATGCACCTGTGTGAGCCCACACCCCCACCCTTGGAACTTTATTATTGTAACTTGTCTTCTCTAAAAGATCAATTAGCATTGACTGCATCTTAAAGACTATGTCTTCATTTTATCCTTGAAGCCTTAATTTTAATCACTGATAAGGCACAAGTTTCAGGTAGGACCAGCTATGTAATGGGAGACAGCCTGAGTGCTTAGAAAAAGGATCCAGTGCAAAATGAAAATGCACAACCTCTTGTTCAAAATGATTAAGAATTTTAAGACAGCAATACAATAGCAGAGCATTAAGCCAAATGTGGACCTTTGTGAGAGCACAGCCCTGTGCAACAACACAGGTTACATGAAGCTGGCCCTGATTTCAGATATTCCTTATCAACAGTTCCCATGTGAATTTTCCCAAAGACCATAATGCAGATGTATGGAAATGAAAACAACCTGCCTAAAAGTCACATTATGATCACATCTTCTTTACACAGGCTTATATTAACTATAAAGGCATTGTTGGGTACCCATTAAAATTCCATTTCAATCAAAACGTGGCATGCTTACTTGACTTTGCTTTTCTCCATTCTAATCAGCCTTACTCACATAACTTACGAAGCAGAGAAAATGCTATGTGTTCCCCAAACCATGTTTATTAGCCTCTTGGGTATATTCCCAGCCCTCTTGCATTCAGCTGGGTCCTTGTAATCAGTTCACGTCAATGGTAGGGCCTGACTCATAATATCTGCTTTGAGATTCATGTCCTCCTCTCATTAGGTTTTCCTTACTCTTTCTTTGGCTACCTTCATCTCTTCATCTATATGGCTGCAAGCAAGGAACACTGAAACGGGGAGCCCACCAAAGGAAGAGCTCAAATCCCTGGGTCATTTTTAGAGGAAAGCATTCGGGAATGTTGCTTGACCCCCATTTGAGTGCTACATAAAATTAAACTTTATTACATTAAGCTACTTATATTCCTCTAATACTCTAAGTTAGAGGGTATGATAATCTGAGGCAGGGGGATAGGGCCCAGAGGGGTATCAAAATTGTCAAGCAATTCTGATACACAGGAACCTTGGGCCACCTTTTGAGAAACGGCTGAAGTCATCCAATCAGCAGACTATAAAACAATGTGCTAGCCAATAGCTATCAGGTTATCTTGTGGGGATATTTATATTCTTATAATAGTATGCATTAACAATTTTGAAAGCACTCTTTCCTATGTATTTCTAGAGGATTCTGGAGCACTGTGAGGACTTCAACATTGCTAACAATGAATTATCTGGGATAGAATGACCAATAGCAACAATGATACCTGCTGAACATACCCTCAAATCTCACAAATTGTCACCTGTCTGCCTGTAGTACTTATAGAACTCAAAATCTCAAATTACCCAGGAAGAATTTGATGGAAACCCTGGAATCTGGGCTGAGTCTAATAATCTGGGAACATTGATCTTAGGAAATTCAGGGCCAGGTATTATTGGGAGGGACGAGGGGAGATGCACAGAGTGCTCAGAATAATGGCAAGTGTTATTCTCCCTTTGGCTGCAGAATGTCAGCATTTATGGGAAAAAGTCGATCAAGTACTTACTGGATCTGCTTAATCAAGCATAATCGTCGCTATGTGACTGGCAGTTATTGGAACGTCCTGTGTAAGACAGTGCCAGAACCAGTATGCAAATAACTACTTATATTATAGATAGTAAAAGGAAAAATAACTTTTTCCTCAGCACAGGAAATCAACATGATGCAATACAAGAACGTAAAGTTTGGCGTGTGAGGGATTTGGGATCATGCTTAGTTTCAACACTTATTTGCTTCAGGTTCTTAAGCATCTAAGATCCAGTTTATTCAAATGTAAAGGGGAGGTTAATGTCCACATTGCAGTGTTGTTGGGAAACTTAAACAAGTAAAGCATCTAGTATGATTTCTGCAAGATTTTACCTCTGCCCAGCTCATTATTTGTATCATATAATATTATTATTAATACTTTTAAGATTTAAGCATGAAGAAGCACTTCCATCAGGCACTTTCAAATTTGTACCATAAAGAATCCCACTAAGCATCCTTTCTGCCTTCTGTAAAACTTAGAAATTCTTTTGCCTAGTCTTTTTCAAGACACATAGTGTCAGGCATTTATCATCATCTCTTCCCCACATAGACAGACATATACTCATATTCCAAACATAGCTTCAATTGTCCAAACACTCATAAGTTGTAGGAAATAATAATTTATTAAATATTTATAAAATATTGAACTATTTTATTCACACAAGGGACTTTAATGAGAAAAATTACTTCTCATCCTCAATCTTAAAAAGAACTCTCAGGATCCTGATTTATATAGATTTTTCTAGACTGTCCCTTTTTTACTACCTACCTTTATAAATGTTTTATTTACTGTGCTGTAAGAGGTGTAGGATAGTTTTCCTCTGAAAAAAGCCAAAAATTCTTCAAATATAAGTGAAAGATGTAATTTAAGGATTATTTATAAGTGCATTTCTGAGACATGAATTAGACATCATATAAATTACTATAATAAAAATCTATCTTTTCTTCAATAATTTCAAAGCTGCCTCCCATTTTAATGTGTGCAGCAGTGTTGATATAGAGAAATGTAATTATCTAATACATTTGTTATTTTAGCTGAATTAAAAGCATTTTAACTCTTGAAATATCCTATGCCACGTAAGATTTCAGATTAAACTCTATGGCAACACCTAAAAGATCAAAATATACCTCTTCACATAAGACAAACAGGATACAAAATTTACAGTAGTTTAATTAGTATAAAAATAGCTATTTCTGCTTTGTTTGTAAATTAGGAAGCTTAATAAATAGATTTATATTTGTTGATTTTATTGCGAGCTTTCAATGAGCAATGTGTCTATTGCCCTACCTGCATGATTGCAGCAACTACTAATTGAGAACTTTCTAAATAAATAAAACTCTATTAGACACTTGGAACAAAGAAACATAAAATACATAGTCTTTTCTGTCAATGAATTTGCAATCTAGCTGAAGAAGCAGTACCAATATCAAAGACTATGATAGCAACCCAATCCCATCACAACATATGCATCACAGTACCGAACCAATAGAGCCAAATCATAGCTGAAGAGCCCAGTGAAGGGAGACATCCCTAAAGTCATGAGACTGGGATATTTGCCTTCTAAACTGAGATATTCTGGTTTTCAAAGTATACAGTTGTATGTGCGTGTGTGTGTTTTCTATTTTTTTATCGTATTGTTTTAAGAGGAGAAAGACTACACAGATACTTAGCATAAAATTATGTACTAGGTAAGCTATTTGTGAAGTAGAAATACTTAGCTATATACTATATGATGTATAAGAGGAATTGTCAATTAAAAATAAATTGACACTAATTACACCAAATTGGACTTCTGTTAATTACAGTACACCAAATGATTCATTTATACATTCTGTTTTCATTGGATGTTGTGGAAAATTGTTTGCATTTCAGTGATTAAAAGGAAATCTTTAGTACTATTCTTCCATAAGGTTTTTCTTAGAAAAAAAAATCATGGTGTACAACTTATTAAGTGATTAGCTGTGGGCTAGCTGTTACATACTAGGTGCTAGAGATATTTGGAGCCCAAAAGCATGACCCCAGACCTACAAGAACTTATCATCTGGCTGGTAAGGCAGCACTCTGTATTTAATATAGTAATACAAAGTGGGCAAGTGTTAAAGGCTAAATGAGCCTATTAGATAAAGGTGTCCCAGTGAAGGATACTATTCCCCAAACCAAAAGGAGCCAATTCCATTCTAACCCTGAGTCTATGAATATAAGAATAATGCTGATATATCTCTTTTTGGTTTCAAATTTCCATTATCTGAAATAATAAAAGACAGGTGGAAGAGAAGTCCTGGAAGAAAAGGGTTCCTAAATTTGCATTGCGAGAATGTCATAAATAACTGTTTAAACAAAATTATATAGTAAGTACTAAACATGGGGGCTGATGGTTAATTCTTCAAGAGGAGAATTCCCATATTCATAGAATCATAGGTGTCAAAGATGGAGAGGAACTAGAGAGGGTCAGTTTCAATACCACCATATTGTAGGAGAGATTTGGGATGGTAGAGGGGTAAAGATATCTATCCATGGTCACACCAATTTACAAGTAAGAAGAATTCAGATTTGTACTGAGATCTGGAATTAAGCCTATGCCTCTTTCTTCACACCATGTTGCTTAACTATAAGTAAAGCACTGGGCAATGGGCAAAGTTAGATATTTAACAAAATGTTGCTAATTGAAGTTAGATCTTATAAAGAAAAAGCAACCTCGCTCATCCTTACAAATCCTCTGAAATTTATGTTTTCTAAATAACATACAGTCCCTAGGTAGGAAAAAGGTAGATTTAGAGTAGTCTACATATCATTAACCTTAAGGAACAGCAAACAAAAAAAATCACCAATATAATATTTGCCTCATAGAATCATTGTGAGAGCACTATCCCAGAATAAGCGAATTTACCAGTCAAAGGAATCTTTACAAATCGTTCTCATGACTTCATGTGAAATAAAGGATCTATGCCAGCCAACTTAAAGAAAAACCATACCTCCTATAAGGTGTCTTGAACACCATCAGAGCCTTGCGAAACAACATTTTGATTAGCAAAGTGAAAAAGAATCACAATATTGGCACAGGGTTTTGCTACAATTTTACTTAAATCAAGACCAATTGGTTGAAAAGAGGAGATATACCAAGAAGAAAGATTCATTTCATGTGCTGCATTTCGATTAGGCTTCTGGATCCTCGAATTTAAGATCCATACTTTCCCCAGGACTCATCATTGCCTGATGATAATTACAAAGGTATGGTAATGGAGGGATTTAAATCAAACGTGCATGGTAGATCTGCTGTCACTGCAAGAACCATCTCATTGCAAGTTGGCAGGGAAGGATGTGCTTGCCTTTCAACTGGCAGAGCAGTCTTCTTGGCTGGCATAGGAACTAGCTCTGCCTTAAATCTTCCTGATTTAAATTACTGTTAGAGTAATTTGGCTAATTGAAAATATCTGTCTTTGGAGAAATTTTTCATAATGTTAGTGTCATTTGCAGGGTGCAGAAGAGATCTTCAGGGCAGCAGTGGGGCCTGCCCGCTTACAAAGCCCCCATTGATCAACAGTACCATCCAAAAAGTCCACTTAGACAAGGGGTCATCCAAGGACATGCCAATGACTCTTTCTTGCCAAATGGTGTACATGAGCAAAGTGTCTCTGAGAGAATGCGAAGCCTCCAGTAAGGCAGACAACGTAGATGGGATATTCCCAGCCCATCCTGGACAGCTCCAGTTATTTCGAGAAGTGGTGTGGAATTGGAACAGCCTTAAAGGAAAATTGGCCATCTTTAATTTTAAACATAAATGTATGTGACAGGCCACCTGAAGGAAATAAGCAGGGGGAGAAAAAAATGTCAAAGCAGACATAGTTTTACAATTTAGACAGAAACGATAGGATACCATGTGTTAAAAGTTGTGTAAAAACTGATTTTTAATAAAATCACAGTGAATGTAGTATTGTTTTTCAATGTTTTTATTTCCTAATTATTTTATCTCCTTTTAAATCTCTAAGTTAATTTTCCTTAACCTTTAAAGCACTAATCTGCTAAAAGAAAATGAGCACGTCTTTAATTGCCCTGAAACGGGAGGTTAAATTACATACTACCTACTCAGATAAAATTCTACCACAATGCATCGGTGACTTCAACAAAACAAGCTGAAATCATTGGTGGGAAAAATAAATCAGTCTCTGAGAAGGCAAATCCTTTTGGTTTGTTCTTCCTGTTCTGGCCCATCTCAGCCTTACCGGGCCTCCAGTTCTCCCTTTTCCTGAGTCTCTGAGTCCCTTATCCAATTCGGTACTCATATCACTTGCTGGTCTTACTAATCATCCTGCATCCAACGATTTACTCTTTTTCTCTGCTTTACCCCTACTGAACCCTATCTGGCTTCAAACTTGTCCTTCTTCCTTGTGCAGTTTGCTGCTTCAAAGTCTCCTCAACTGCCAAAAGCTAGCATTTATAAACATTCATAAACAAAGAAAGATTTCGGTTATAATGATCAATCCAGGAGCCCCCAAAACAGAGAATTAACTTTGAAATCTGATATTATGCCACTTGCCCCTCTCTTCAAAGCTCATTTCTAAAGGATTTGAACTATGCATTGGTGAGCCCTTTCTATTATATATCCTAGGTTAAGCCCATCTATTTAAAACTACTACCCAGCTTGGCAGAGCTGTCTTCCACAGTTTGTAAGTCAATTCTTTGGAATGCCTTTTCCAGTGGAAACTGTCATCTACAGAATGGTTTAAGTCCTAGGCCAACTCGAAATATCTATCTAGCCCACAAAGTACATGAAGAATAGCTCTGAACTAAAAGAAATTGGAAGCTCATATAGTTAAAGTTGAAAAGAAGCATGAAGATTATATAACCCAACTTTTTTATTTTACAGATGAGAAAATGGAGATATTAAAAAGCTAACTCTTCCATTCTAACACAGCATCCAAGAGGCAGAACTAGGAGTTCTCTTTATTGCCAAGACTGGGCATTATCTCAATTAACCCACATGACAATCTTGAATGATTAGTGTTATTATTCACATGAGGAAAGCAAAGTCAAGAGAGCCTAAGTAATTTTAGGTCAAGGTCATACAGCTAGCACCAGCAGGGTGGTGAAGCAGGGATTTAATCTCAGTTTTCTCAGACTTCATGCATGCTTCAGTCTACTGCCCCTCATAGGTCCAGTTATTATTTGTCGCCACCATTTCATTGAGAATCTGTTTAGAGCCATGACTAATATTTAGGATTACATTTCTTCATTACATAATGGGAGAAAGGTCACTCTCCTCACCCACAAGTCCAAATGACTAGTGGTAGCCCTATGGTCTAGAACAGATACCAAAAAGAAAATTTATGAATAATAAATAGAGCAGTTAAACTGAGCCCTGGGAGAATGCAACTTTCTTTACTTCATGTCTTGTTCCAGCCTATATTCTCTCCCCTTCCTTTCTCAGTCCGGCTCCTTCCGAGTTACCTATAATTATTTTCTCTTTTTTAACCTCCTATTTATGTAACAACTTAACTGTAGTCAGGATTCTGCCCCATCACTCCACTGAAGTTGTTCTAAAAAAAAATCTCAGTGACTTTTTTGTAGATAATTCAAATCAGTATTTTTCAATCAACTTTCTAATCTGTGTAGGCAGCATTCAATAGCTTTAATTATTCTATTCCTAAAACTCTTTTCTCTTTTACTTTTTATAAGCCCATTCATTTCAGAACCATTCCTTATCTGCCTTATTTATAAGCTCTTGCTCCTCCTCCTCTTCCTGGTCTTAAATGTTTGTGTTTTCTAGAATCTGGCCCTTGATCTTCTTTTCTGTAAAAACCAGTGTTTTTCAACTTTTCCTGAACATGGGTATCTATAAGGTGGTATACAAATTATAATAGGAAACCCTTTTGAATGGCAAAGTGCAGACCTCCATAAATCCTCTCCTCCATTAAAAAAAAAAAAAGACAGCGAATACTACTGAAAAAGGAAAAAAATTAATTTTGCCAGAACTCTAGCAATTAAGCAAAGGCTTGCGAGAATTTGAGGAACATTTATTCCAGAAGATCAACTGGCCCTTGGTAAAAACAGCAAGCTTTGTGGCATTTAAATCTGCCCTATTCCCCCTCCCTATGTCCATGGTAGCCTTCCAACCAAAAGCTACACAAACTGTAAACTCCAGAAGCCTAGGAGCCACTGGGAGGGAGTGAATGGGTTTGGAGTTCCTGGAAAATCCTATCCCTAGAGAACTGTCACTATTCACCTCACTAGCACTTTCATTCTCAGGGCTTGTTTTTATCTGATGTGACTGACAGTTGACTCAAATTTGAGGCAGCAGCTCGTTTGGTATGAACAGCCCTGTCCTTAAGGAATTTGTTAAAATCAATCAGTGGCAATTATTCAATTGTGCAGCTGAGGCAGTGACACAAGTTGGGTTAAGTAACAGACCAAAAACTTTAAAAGAAAAAACCAGGGGATGAGATTTTCACATGGAGTGTTGAAAATATCTAACATATTCCTGGAACTCTAGAAGATCATATGCACTTGCAGGGATGTGCACAAGCGCAGAAAAGACCTGGGAAGGCCTTAATCTCTCACCTGTGGATAAGTCTGAGGCTTTGCACAAGCAGGAAACGAAGGCTAAAGAAGAGTTTTCAAACTGCCTGCTGGAGTGTTGAAATATTCCCCTCAAACACACGCGCCCAAAGCCCTTCAGCAAAATGACAGCAACTTACTAGTTTAATGCATTCAAAGAAATCTATGTGAAGTCATTAGCTGACCGCTAAGCTAACTGATCAGAGATATTGAGGGGTATGCATGACAGAAAATCAGACTCTTCACAATTAATTCAGGAAACTCAATAAACAAACAAGCATCCATAGCAACAAACTAACAACACCCAGAGCTAACATTGTAATTAATCATTAAAAAATGAATACTTCTCCTCTAAGATCAGAAACAAGACAAGGATGTTTGTTATTCCTATTTCAATTCAACATTAAAGCCACATTTGAGAACATATATCGTATAACACCACTGATATGAATTGTCCATATAAACTTAGTATACTAAAAAACATCAAATTGTACACCTCAAAAGGATGAATTATATATTATGCAAATTATACCTCAATAAAGCTGGTATCAAAAATATTACTATCTGGGCTCTGTCTCCTTATACTCCCATTTAATGCTTGCACGACATGACCTGCATCTTGAGAATTTTTAAAGCACTTCAAATGATTCTACTGTGGAATCAACATTGAGATCCACTGGTCTATGTCATCTCTTTGGGAGAGTGATTCTAAATCTTGGGATGCCCACTGGAACCATCCAAGGAGTTTTTGAAATGTCAGTGCGTTCTATGAGGAACTTAACCAAATGTATAAGAAAAAAAAAAACTCCATTAAAAAGTGGCAAAGGACATGAACAGACACTTTTTAAAAGAAGACATACATGTGGCCAACAAGCATATGAAGAAAAGCCCAGCATCACTGATCATTACAGAAATGAAAATCAAAACCACAATGAGATACCATCTCACACCAATCAGAATGGCTATTATCAAAATTCAAAAAATAACAGATGGTGGAGAGGTTGTGCAGAAAAAGGAATGCTTATACACTGTTAATGGGAGTGTAAATTAAATTAATTCAACCATTGTGGAAGACAGTGCAGTGATGATTCCTCAAAGACCTAAAGTCAGAAATACCATTTGACCCAGGAATCCCATTACTGGGTATACACCAAAAGGAAAATAAATCATTCTATTATAAAGATACATGTACCCGTATGTTCACTGCAGAACTATTCACAATAGCAAAGGCTTGGAATCAATCCAAATGCCCACCAATAATAGATTGGATAAAGAATATGTGGTACATATATATCATGTAATACTACACAGCCATAAAAAAAACAAGATCATGTCCTTTGCCAGGACATGGATGGAGCTAGAAGCCATTATCCTTAGCAAACTAATGCACAACCGAAAACCAAATACCATATATTCTCACTTACAAGTGGAGCTAAATGATGAGAACACATGGACACATACAGGGGAATGACACA
This sequence comes from Homo sapiens, assembly GCF_000001405.40. Lineage (NCBI taxonomy): Eukaryota > Metazoa > Chordata > Mammalia > Primates > Hominidae > Homo > Homo sapiens. The sequence goes on along the minus strand of NW_003315967.2, from coordinate 53,579 downwards.
CACTGAGGCCTGTTGGAGGGTGGAGGGTGGAAGGTGGGAGAGGCTCAGGAAAAATTATTAATGCATACTAGGCTTAATACCTGAGTAATGAAATAATTGGTACAACAAACCCCGTGACACACACTTACCTATGTAACAAACCTGTACATCCTACACATGTACTCCTAAACTTAAAATAAAAGTTAACAAAAAAAAGAAAGAAATGTCAATGCTTGGTTCCTGCCCCTAGAGATTCTGATTTAGTTGGTGTGGAATGTAGCATAGACGATAAAATTTTTTAAAAGCTGTTTATTATGTATAACAAAGTTGAGATACACTGATCTGTCATCCAAGCCACTCTAAATTTTCAGCTCAGCCCTTCTACCTAATGACTTATTTTGAATGTTCCACATGAATCTCAAACCCAATCTGTTCAAAATGAAACTCATCTTCTTTCTAAAATCTTATTCTCTACAGTGCTCAATCATCCATCTAGATTTCAAATTATAAATCCAAATATTACCATTGTCTTTTTCCTCTCCTTCATACTTCACACACAATCACTCAGTCCCAGCAATATTACTGTCAAAACTTAACCGTCAGGTTTACCCCTTCCCCTTCCTCCCCACTGCCTCTTCTTCAGTATATGTATGTATTTATCTCCTTTCACAGAATCATTATCAATTCTCACTAGTCTCCATAACTCTATACTTCATCTTTTCCAATGCACTCACCAGACTGCTCAGTAGAGCATTCGAAATTGCAAATCTGATTACACCACTGCCCAGTTTAAAATGTTTCCTTAGCTCTCAAGTACTTTCTGAATGAAATTCAAACACTTACACTGATTTTTAATTATCTGTTCCTACTTAATTCTCTAGCCTTATCATTCATCACTTCACCACACCTCTCTCGTTACCCTATCCTGTGGTGATGGGAGACTGCCTTCACTTTTTCTAATGTGCTCTACTCTCGTAACTTTCAAGCTGATCTGCCACCTACCTCCCCATATCTAGACCCACCTCCTTCACCGAAACTCATACTGACCCTTAAATACGTAGCTCAGATGTGAACCTTTTCTGAAAAAACATCCTGGTTACTTCCAGTATGAATTAAATTCCCTGCTGTGTGTTCCCATATCATCCTGGGCATTCTTCTACTACAGAATTTATCATTCTTGCAAAATTGTCTGTTTAATCTTTCTGTTAAATTGATGGCTCTCTAGGGCAGAAATTGTGACCACAGCACTGAGTACAGAAGCAACATATAGTAAATGCTTAATAACATAAGATGTGCAGTAAAGGAATAGTTGATTTTTCTTTTTTCCAGATTGTATATTGTAGCATTAGAATTTACTAATCTTTTATTGTTAATTTTTAAGAATTGTAAAACAGAATATATAGCTGTAGGAATGCATATATACACACATACATATCCTGTGTTTCTGTGTATATCTATGTGTGTGCATATATATGAAATACAGGCACCCAAGTACACACTATATGTATGTATATATAGGGAAGAACCTATACAGAAATAGAAAAATATTAATAATGGTTCTCTAGACATTTCTTTTCTTGTTTAGGCCTTTCTGTGCTTTTATATGTGAACATGTATTATTCCACAATGAAAATAATTTTTAAAAGATAAACTTGTCTAATTTTTCCCCACCGATTTTACCTGCTACAGTTTTTCTTCTAAATGAGCCAAACAAAGCAGAATGCACTCAAGTTTTTCTCTGTATGCCTGTCCTGAAAACTTATTTGTATTGAAATGAAAAAAAATTTGAATTTCTCATGTATTGAGTTATTATGATCACCATTAACAAATTATAATTCACTGCCTTTGTGTATCTTAATGTAGGAGAAGAAAATGTTTAGGTGAACAAAAAGAGAAAAACTTAGATGGTTATTTCTTAATATAGCACAAAGTATGAGAAATTCACATCTAATCAAACTAAAAAGACTACATTGACTTAAATATGTATTTGAGAATAAACATTGCACTTTGATTTAGACATTGTTTACTCAAAAATTTGTATCATGTCTTCAGAGTAGCAAAGGTTGATTGGGAAAAATGTCCCTTATCAAAGCTGTTAAAATTATGCTGTGGATGACAAAAGGTTCAGGTACCATTTTAGAGTGACACGCATTCTTAGTAAACTATTTCCCTGATTATACCGTTGATCTGACAGAAGCATATGGGCATTAAGTTTGAATGTTATGAAACCGCCTTTGCAAAAATCATAACTGAGGAAATTACGACCGTGAAAGAGGTCAGACCTAACCAACTCCATTTTCCTGTTAACTTTTAATCTGTCCTTTTTCATTTCTGGGCATAGGCCTAAATAACCTTGGAAAGAAATTTAGTTTATAGTTTGATTCTGAAACAAATTTGATAATAGCCCTTTCCCGAAAAGACCCCTTCTTGCCTGGGGACCAGTCTGCCTTTGTAGGACTAACGCATTAGCTACAAGATTAGAAATTATGGTTTAGGGGTCATACAGCCTCCAGCTGCAAGAGTCTGAACCTCCCCAAATTGCTCCTGGGAATAACATCACTATTGTAAAGCCTAAGATTAATGCTTGAGATCTTTTGCAGACCCTGCACTCCAATGCAGCAGATGACAGACACCACCTAGAAGGGTAATCTGGCTCAACCAGTTCTGAGATCCCATCTAGGAACAGAAGCCATCAAGAACCCACTTTGACCCCCAATTATTTAATCTCCAATCCAACCAATCAGCACTCCCCACTTCTCGAGCCCCTACTCACCAAATTATCCTTAAAACCTTCCGTATCCGACTTTTCAGGGAGACCAATTTGAGTAATAATAAAACTCCAGTCTCCCACACAGCCGCCTCTGCGTGAATTACTCTTTCTCAATTGCAAGTCCCCTGTCTTGATAAATGGGCTCTCTCTAGGCCGTGGGCAAGGTGAACCCGTTGGGCAGTTACAGTTATAAACTGATTTCCATTGAGAAGTCTTTCATGTTTACAAATTCTAGAAAGCACTGTAAAATTGTTGGTTCATTTTCCTTTTATAAAACCATAATTTCCAAACAATCTAAAATTGTTTGGAAACATAAACAAAACAAACCAGTGCCTAGCCATGCTTTGTTTGTTTGTTTGTTTGTTTGTTTGTTTTGGTCATTATATGGCATGGCTTAGTTGTATTTAAGCCTCTCTTTGTAGATTTCCAAGGTTAGAAATGGAGGATAAATTCAGAAATCTCTCAAGAGTGTATAGCAAATACAGCCAGAGCAAGGACATATCATTCACATGAAGACAATGGACTAAGAGAATCAAGGAAAAACTTAAAGAGGAAATTAAGATACGAAGAAAAAATTTGGAGCTTAAGTTACAAGGAACTTGAAAGAGAAAGAAAAGGACAATGGGTCTTGCATTCTTGATAATGGAGGATTGCCCGGTTGTTTGAATGAGCACAACCCTCTGGCTTTTAAAAGTACATTTGGCCTCCTTGCTTTCTCATTTTTACCTCCCACTTCTTCCATCTCCTGAACATTCCCAATCTCATCCCAAGTTAGAACATGTATTCTCCATGCTCTTCCTACTATATACCTCCTATCAGGTAGTTGAACTTAAGTGTAAACTGCAGGATGGTGCTTTAAAATCCCAGCATACCTGTGGCGAGATGAGTATATCTTCAGATGTCTACATTTGACCTCTTTCCACTTCTCTTGCCCTGTACTTTGAGCTCAGAAAACTTCTAGAATTCCAAGTAACAAATGCATTATTTTGTTAATGATTGTTTTCCCTCAAACCAACCTCAGTCTACATACAAGCATAATTACTCACTAGTATAATGTGATCTGAAGGCCACATATCTGAAAATAACATAGTCAGAAAACAAAGTATTCCAAACCACTGTGATCAAGCTGCCTTGGTACCTATCTTACCTGTGGGTGAGAGAATTTTTTAAAGAAGCTCCTGTTGATGAAAAATGTCAAAGTCTGTAAAATATTTGAAGGGGTTTATTCTGAGCCAAATATGAGGACTGTGACCCGTGACACGGCCTCAGGAGGCCATGAGAACATGAGCCCAAGGTGATTAGATTACGACTTGATCTTATACATTTTAATGGGACAGAAATTACAGGCAGAGACATAAATCAATACATGTAAGGTATACATTGGTTCAGCCCAGAAAGGTGGGATATCTTGAAGCAACTTGGGAAGGGGGTGCAGGGTGAGCTTCTAGGTCATAGGTAGATTAAAAGATTTTCTGATTGGCAGTTGGTTGAAAGAATTAAGCTTTGTCTAAAGAGTTTAAATCTGCTTGAGTTAAGGTAAGGGTGGTGGGAGTTGTGGAAGCCAAGGTTCTTATGTAGATGAAGCCTCCAGGTAGCAGGCTTCAGAGAGAATAGACGTGAATGTCTCTAATTGGGCCTTAAAAGGTGCCAGACTCTCTGGTAAAGACCTAATAAGGGAAGGAGAGTCTTTACAGAATTCAAATTTCCCTCACAAGAGACAGCTCTGTGGGTCCATTCCAAAATATGACAAAGAAATATATTTTGGGATGTATATTTCCTCCAGGATCTGCTATCTGTCATGTAATGCTACATTGGAGTCAGGTTGGAATTTAGTATCTTCTTGCTACAAAGAGTCTGTTCTGTCAGTCTTAATATCTCTGTTTTAATGTTAATGCTGGTCAGTTGTGCCTGAACACTCCAGAAGGGACAGGGTATAATGAAGCACGTCTGACCCTCACTTCCTATCACGGCCTGAACTAGTTTCTCAGGTTTCTTTGGAATCTCCTTGGTTGAGAGGGGGTTCCAGTCAGTTGGCTGGGGAGCTTGGAATTTTATTTTTGGTTTGCACCTATTTTACAATGTGATTTACTCATACATTCACTAATAAATTGCCTAGTTTGGTTTTTTAGGATACGCTGTCTAACAGAAAGATTCTGAGGGAATAAAACATAAGAAAAAAAAAATCTATTCAAGATCCTGAGATTACAGGATCAGTAAGTACGGTGAAAGGTATGTGAAGACTCAATAGCCTTGGGTTCTAGTCTCAACTCTATTATTTGCCACAAATGTCACAGGGCAACTCTCTGAAAGAATTATTCCAGTTTTTTAAACAAATCTAAAATTAAATGTATAATAATTCATTATGATGGCATGAAGCTAAATGACATAGTTTACTTAAGAATGCTCTGAAAATTGTTGACTACCATGCAAATAAAGAGTATTAATAAGCTTAATACAGAAATGTAATAATTTTGGAATTGGATCGGTTCATTTATATTAGATATAATGACATTTATTTATTTTAAGCAGGTTGGTTTCTTTTGGAGCTTTTTAATTGAAGAATTGTATACATGCACAAAATTGGTATATCATTTGATGAATTATCAAAAGTTAAACACACTCATAAAATTTCCATGATAACACAACAAAGAACATTACCAACACCCGAAGTCTCACTTTGTACCCATTTCCATCACCCAATATCCTTCCTTCTCCCCAAAGGTAATTACTGTCCTGATATCTAATGCCATAGATTACTTTTTATTCCTCTCAGACTCTCTAAATGGTATCATACAATATATACAATTTTGTACACTTTTGTGTCTGTTATTTTGTTCAACATAACTTTTGTGAGATTGAGCTCTGTTGTATGTAGCAGCAGTTTGTCATTTTTATTGCTATATAGTATTAATATGCTGTGTATGCTAATGTATGGGTATTTATAATTTGCTTATTCATTTTTCTGTTGATGGACATTTGGTTCTTTCCAGTTTCAGGCTTCTGAAAAACAATACTGCTATGAACATTCTCTTAAGTGTTTTTTGGTGCACTTATATATGCATTTCTATAGGATATAAACTCAGAAGTTAAATTTCTGGATTTGTGTGTGCTCAGATTTAGTAGACAATGCCAGTTTTCCTAATGGTTTTTACCAGCTTTTACTCCTACCATCTGGTAAAGAAATTCTGGTTACTCTTCATCCTTGCCAACACTTGGTGATATCAGTCTCTCTCATTTACCCATTCTGGTGAGAGTGTAGTGGCAATTAATTACCATTTTTATTTGCATTTTTCTGAATCACATCAGTTTTATCTATCTTTCTTGAATAGAATTCTAATTTTCTAGTAGAACTTCTCCTTATAATCGTGGAGAATAAGCCCATCTCTTTTTTCTTGGGTGAGAGATTTTAGCAGTTATAGATCGCATATGACTATGCACATCTGTTGTCATATTCAGTAGATTTTCTATTGGAAGATTGTCTCTGCAAGTTTATATATATAATATAAAATAAATAATATATATAAAACTGGAGAAAAATTGAAATAAAATTTCAAGAAGTCTGTAATAATAAGAAAAAACACATAGAGGTTCTCATTCATGATGGCTTACCGAACACTCTTGAGTTAAGCTTCCTTCCCTGCTTCCTCAAATCCCTTTTCTAATGACACAGTAAGTAAAATGATAAAAAGTAAACTCATAAAAGCACTTGAAAGTCAGGTGTTACACCACCACAAACCAGAAAAGCAAAGAATTCCTGGAAGATAATATGAAGCAAGTGGGAACAGACTGACAATGAAATCTAACATAGCTGCAGAACTATAAGTCCTTTACAAACAAAGAAGAGCTCAAAATAAATGATTTTTTTTTAAGCACCAAATCACACAAAGAACAAAAGGCACAGGGTCTGGGAGATGGAACAGGCCACAAGGAGCTGTTCAGGTAATTAATTAAAGAATGATAATAACTGTACTATGAATCATCTCCACCCTCAAATTAGTGAATCTCACATTTGTACCCAAGGTCAATGTTTCAAGTTTAGGGTTGTAGAATGAGAATTCCATGCCCAGACTGAAGTTCTGGACTGAAGACATTGAGCAATACCTCAAGAGCATGCTACACACTATAAAGGAAAGTAACCTGACTATTCAATCCCCTCTTCAAATGGGAAGTGGGTAAAAGAAGAGGAATGGATATTGTGAGCCCATTTTAAAAAGTAGGGCCTTTGCAAGACCTAAGACTTGTAGAGAAAATAAAGTATTAAAATTCCTTATGGGCTTTCTCCATTGGTGATAGGACCTGTCCATATGCGTAGAGTGACTACATAATTTCTTGTCCAAATCATAACACTTCTGAGCATGACTAAAGACACTGTCAACAAATGTGCTTGGGTAAAAGACTTAAACGAAGACTCCTGAAGTGGTCGTGGGCATGTGGTCATGTCTACCTATGCCACCAACCTTCCACAGAAATGGGTGGAGATACAGCAGTCATATTTCTCATGTTTGATGACTGGGTCAACTATGCTTGCTTGCTGATCAGCCAGACAGTATGAAGATTCTAATTTTTTTAAAAAAGAAAGAAAAGTAAGAAGACAACTTTTTCTGATTATCAGAGAGAATTGAAATGGATTTTGGTACTAGGTTATCTTAAATAATTACTGATGTTGTTTTACAATTAGGTTTTTTAAGTCTTTACCTGTTACATTAATGTGAGCATTACCTATAAATTAAATTATGTGTGTCTAGGATTTGTTTTAAAACATTCTAGTGGGAAGTTGGAATAGGAGGAGAAGAGGGGTTGATTAATACATTGACAATATATTGGTGCTTGTTGAAGCTAAGTGAGTACATAGAAGCTTATTATTATTATTATCTCTGTACTTTTTACATGCTTAAAAATTTTGTACATGCTTGAAAATTTTCATAATACAATTTTAAGTGTCAATATAAGGGGTTTTCCAACTTAGAAAAACAGCATAGGGAAAAAAACAATAATCACAACATTTGGGAAGGCAGAATAAGTAAGAAATAATTTGGAGACCCCAGGAAGCTAAATCCTAAGCTAGCAGTAAGTAGATTTGAAAAAAAAATTATTCAATTTGCTTCATACACTCTCAAAAATCTCATGAATCTAGGGGAGACCATTAACATGTAGAAGTACAAGGGAATGTGAACTAGGAATAAGAGGACTTATTGAAAGCCTGTATGAGAGGCAATAAGACTTCAAGATTTCCCCTTCTATGCTGCTCAGCCAAAGATCTGTGCCACTTTCACACTGGCAGAATACCAGAGATTTAGAATGTGGAATGTAGTGCAGAGCGATTCAGAATTAAGAGATACCAATACCAGAACTTTGAACCAAGTATTCTGTACTGAAAACATGGGAACTAAGTAAAAGTCTATACATTTATATTGAAATCCCCAGTCCTATTTTTTCCTCCTAGCTCTAGGGATGCTGGTAGACAGATTTATACCATCCATGCATGAGAGAATTTTTATCGAAGAATCTGAGCTATTTACAAGAAAAAGATCTAAACCTATTGATTTAGGATCCCCTATGAGATCACCTAATAAGAACAGTTTACAGTTAAACCTATAATCAATAAGTCACACATACACACATACATACAAACATTCCAGTCAGCTTTATAGTGAGCAATCCTCATACATAAGCATACATCCAAAAATCACAAGATATCTGAGGAAAGTTTCTAACATGAAAAACGAACCAAAATAAGCCAACAGCAATATGAAACTTGAAGAAAAGGGAATCTATTCAAGGAGATGGGGGAAAAGCATTATTAATATTCTCAGAGAAAAAAAGATAAGTTATTTCATCCATGGAACAAGAACTGCCACTTCTACCAAAAAAAAAAAAAAGACAAAAAAAAAAAAACCATAAGAAAGAGACTTTTGAAATCTAAAATATTAAAGTAGAAATTAAAAATTAAGTAAAAACATTAAAAGAAGATATTTTAAAACTAAATATAAAATAGAAAAGATAGGAAAATTATAGGACCAGTATAGGAGGTACAATATTCACAAAATAGGAGATACCAAAAGGTTAACAGGAGAAAAAAAATAAGTTAAATTTGTTTTCTATAAATTTCTCTGAATTGAAGAGTCATTCAATTTGAAAGACCCATTGAGTGGCCAATGCAATGGATACACATTAAGCGTCATTGCAAACTTTCAAAATGCTAGAAACAAAGATTCTACAAGAGTTTCAAAAGGAAAAAGAAAAAGACATAAAATACCAGAATAAAAATGCTCTTTCTCCACAGAAGCACTATTTACAAGAGATAAAACAAAAAAATGCCTTTAAAATCCTGTGAAAAAGTTATTTTCAAACTAGATTTTTATATCCAGCCACAATCTCAAAGTAAAAATAAAATGATGTAAAATAAAGAAATTTTTAGATATAAAAATGAAATTTAGAAATGCATTTTTAGATATATGAGTTATTGAAAAATTTACCTCCAATGTACCCATCTCAAGAAATCATGTACGACATGCTCCATCAAAGTGAAGATGTAAAACCAAAAGAGGAATATTTGGGATCAACTCAAAGTGAGAGGCAGAAAGAGTCCCAGGAAAACAACTCCAAAACTGTTATGGAGAAAACCCAGTCGAGATTGAAACTGGTCAAAATGCTAAAGGGGAGATATGGTCAAGTAGATGAAACTCATATTTTATATGAGTAAACAAAATAACAAAATAAGTATAACCTTCAGGAATTTTTAAACTCAACAAAAAGTGGAAAAAAGAGAAAAAGTAATCTGACATGTAATAGACATCACCAATATCCCATTCAGTTTTCCCTCCTGAAAATTTCATATCCCAATATCCATGCAATTAGACAAAGCCATGTGACTAGTTTGAGTCAATTAAGTGTGAGCAAAAATAACAAATGATCACTTCTGGTCTGAAGCAATGAAAAGCCCCTGGATTTTCCACTCCCTTCTCTCTCTCCTTTCCCTTTGAAATTATTATTGAGTGGGTGCAGCCACAAGATCAGAACATTCTGGATAGCTGTGTCAAGCATGAAGGACAAATGCCCTGGAGAGTCACTTGAACCTGGAGCTGATTTTGCACGACGGAAAGCCACTGAAATTCTGGTGTTGATTGTTACTACAGTATGGATTAACCAATTCTGGCTTATGCTATATTTTACATAGTTCTATGTAAATAACATTTACATATTAATAATAATATAAACACGAATTATTGTTCTATCCAAAATTGATATTGTGGAAACAGGAAATGTGCTGTGTGACAGTGGTGCATATAAATGTGGGAATAGGAGAGAGGAACAGGCATGAGTGTTGGTGTGGTAAGGATGTCGGCTGTGAAGGGGAGTAAAATCCCTCTCTTCTGCAGTAAAAAGTCAGTAACAGTGTCTAAATTTCAAAGAAATGGTAATAAGAGTATGTCTTGTCCACAGCTTTGGGTCCTACTTTCTATATTGGCACAAAGGTAAAACCCCTCTTGACAAGCATCTACAAGGCAGATCAATTGAGAACATACGTTGTGTTTTACTTTCGGGTGTGGCTATGAAAGTTCAGGTCTTTGACAGTGGTCAAAGGTCCTTTAGGTAATCATTCTTGACTGGCTTCTTTCATTCATAGTGGTAGAGAAGATGAAGAGGCAGTGAGAGGATCTTCCTGGCAGCCACATATATGTTTCTTTACCAAACCCCCTTCCCCTAATTAATTCAAGGAAAAGTACTTGTTTGACATGAGCTGAGACAATAAAATCCTCTCCTGCTGAATTTAGAACTGAGAGGGAAACGCCCTTGGTTTAGTATGCTCCGTTTTCCTAAAATAAGATAGAGATCTCAAGGCCTGTGAAGTGGCTATCTTCCCCATGGTGTTGACTGAGTGATAAAAACCAGCTTGAGAAGAAAACAGATGTACAGGGAGATAATGTCCGGGGTCCTTATAACTTCCCATTTCCTTGTCCTGTGTGTGAAGCACCCCTTTTATGTGTAAACTAAAAGTTTCTTTTCATGCTTAGAGCCAGAGAGTTCTGACTGTTAAGACTATGCTTATCAACTGGGACACAAAAGGCAGCTTAATTCTTTCCTTTGTACCTAAAAATATACAGTCCTTAGGTAGTTAAGAGGGAAAGGCCTCAACCAGAATCTCTCTTTTGCCGGCACAGTGATATTTATTTGACAGCCATACAGGTTTTAGAATAGGCCTCTGGCCCTTCTTTAAAAGGCACAGAAAACTGTGTCCAGGAAGCACTGTGGAATTAATAGAAGAATGAGCCTCCTGAACTGAATGATTTCACCATAGTGTCTTCTGCCTCACTACTGTCGCATACTCATAGCACAAGGTTTTAAAGGACGTAAGAAAAAACACACCCTCTCTCTCTAACGTTTATTTTTTATTAGAGGAGACTGACATTAATCATCTGTTTCCCCATCTCTAGAAACCTCTGGAACCCTTTTGCTGAAGTGTCAGCTCAGGTTTATAATATCCCACTCTCCTGGAAGACAGAAGGAAAGTCAAATGCATTATACCACCAAGAGGGCATAAGCTAATAAAGAAAAATGATTAATCAATATTTGCGAGCAATACATTGAAACAAAGAGAGTTTGCATTAGCTCCAGAGTGTAAACCACTTTGTTGAGAGAGCACTTCTGAATCCACTCCGTCATTCTGGATTTAGCAAATGTGAGCTTTTCTTCTTTCCTAGTTAATAGCCAAAATAATTAACACAGAGTTTACATGCACTGGGAAATTGCTGTGTTGAGAAAAAAAGAGAAATTGTACAAACCCTGTGGCCAAGCAGGTTGCTGCCAGAAATAGAAGTGTGAACATCAGTCTGATGGGAAACGCTGCTGTGTAAAGGTGACTGAAACTCTGACATCAGCTCAACATGTTCCACATCCACACCCTATGCAAGGTTCTCAGATTGTCTCATCAGAAGTGAGGACAACAGGGCCAGCTTTTGGTTAAAAATCTCAGATGAAAGAAATGAGTTTCTCACACTAGCATTAAGGAATACATTAAAACAAAAATGATTTAAAGTTTTTTTTTTGACACTGTCCATTTTCAACTCATACCAAAGCTATTAATATTTTAAGCTTGTTATACCTTGGTTTGTCTTTTAGAATGGAAAGGAGCCCGTAAGATCACATAGCAACTTATGCTTGTTTTAAAATGGCAGAGGAAGAGGACCGTCAGAAAGGTTAAGTGCCTAGTCCAGCATCAGCAGCTGATGAAGAGCAGAAGAGTATGAAAGCCAGGCCTCCTGGCTCCTCATTAGTGTTCCTTCCACCACACTGTGCTTCACATAAAGTCTGTAAGAGTCTCAGTATGAGAATGGGAATAATGTCACACATGAGAAGACCGGTGGTCTCCAAGGAATATCAACTTCCCACTTGTGAGAGGGCAATTTTTCTCTCCCCGAGAGAGAATCACAGCCTTCTTTTTGAAAGCTATTTAAAAGGTGCAAATGTGTGAACTTCTAACAAACTGCTAAGGCAAGTGTATTGCCTAAGCAGTAAAACGTAATGTCACGAGGAAAATCAGGTGATTTCATGTGCAAATTTTACCCTCTGGAATCTAAATATCTTGATCATCCTTAAAGGAAAAAAAAAAAAAAAAAAATCGGGCTTCTTGTCACCGCAATTGAACTGCAACTCCATTACTGGATCAATACTCCTGCTAGCAAATATCCCTCTGGAGTAGCCTTGTTACACAAATTAAAACAGTTTTGAGAGGGGGGAGTAGTAATTCTGGGAAACTTAGGGAAAATGATCTCAAAACAGAATTTGTTTAATAGACAAAACCGGGGCTGCGTGGGCGGGGGTGTGGTTGAAGAGGGTGGAATGGGTTACATTCTAACGAACTTTTTAATAAAAGAAAGATGTAGACATTGTAGCTTCCCAGAGGATAAAATGATCAAATGGATCTTTTTCCAAATAAATACTATTATGCTACACTTTCATGGTCAATAGTGCTACATTTGTAGGTGCCCCTCGTCTCAAAAACCAATTTGGCTTATCTGCTTTCTCCTTCTTACATACGTCTCAAAAGCTGTAACAGATTCAGGGAAATAGATGACCTAGTCACAAATGCTCACTTCTCTAGGGACTTGCCTTTAAATTGACCTTGAGCTTCACAAACCAAAAAGAGCATTTGTGTACCTCAGGACAGTATTAAATCTGAAAAAAAATTAAATAAAAAATGAGGGATAGGAGCAGATGGTCAAAGCAAATACATACTCATTCAGACAGCCAAGCCAATAGATAAGAATGCAGAGGCCCTATTAGCTGCAGATTCCTTATGGGGCATAAGCGGTTACAGGAAATGTCTGTTTAGATTAAGGTCACACAATCATCAGTCTTTTACAAGAAATTTTAAAATGTGAACTCGTTCAACTTTTTATGTGGCTTTGTGTTTCTGCTGTTTTAATTTGGAAGATTTTGTTGATATTGGGGAGAAAAAAGTAACAAACTGGGGTTCAGTCAAGTCGTATATGGGTCAAGAAACATTTTATTGTTCACTATGAATTTTAATGTACTCAGATATCACCTTGCTGCTAAGTCTTGTTCCCTTGTTCTCTGAAGAAGAAACACACACAGCTGTGTGGTAATATTAGTGGGATTATGGGCTACCAATGAATATACTGAAACCAAGATATGTGTGACTTATGACATAAATAAAAACTGTTGCTACCATGAGAGGGAAACACTCACAATTAATACTCACTGGCTTGTATAGGGCATGCCTGTTTTTAAATCTCCAACTGGCACCTACTGATGAGGGCTATTTTAAAAATTAGGGACGGAAAAGGTAAAGAGAAATCAAGGCTAAAGGTTGATTTTGCTACTCAATCTGAAATAAACATAACCAGAGTTTTTGAAAGGTAAAAACAAGATAAAATAATTATAGCTTAGAGTCTTAACTAGTACTTTCTAAGTGCTGTAGATAGTGTGGCAGGTTAAAGATGGCTATACATTTTTTGATATTTTTCCCATAGAGAGATGGAATCTAGAATTCCTCCCTCAATCTGGGTTGTATCTCTAATGGCTTTGATGAGTTGAACAGGACAAAACTGTCTCTGTGTTAGTTTCTGGACCTGGCCCCTAAAAATCTGGCAGCACCTATTTCTCTTTTCTTAAAACACTCTGTCTCAGAGTCTTGAGCTTCTGCATAAGAAATCTGATTATCCTGAGAAGGTCTGCTGGAAAGGTCACAAGTAGGACATCTGGTCAATCTTTTCAGCCTTCCAGTCATACCTACACATGCTAGATATGTGGGTAAAGCCACCTGGACCTCCCAACCAGCTCATTTGCCAGCCAAATACCACCAATGGCCAACCGATGAAACAGAAGAATGAAGGAGAAGAATTGCCCTTTTGAGATCTGCCTACATTTCTGACCCAGAAAATTGTGAGATATCATAAAATGCCTGTTACTTGAAGCCACTGAATTCTGGAGTGGATAACCAGAAAATGTAATACACAAGCTCTTTACATATCTTAACCTATTTAATCCTCCTTATCATGTAGGTAATACTATTTTTCCCATTTTAGAGATAAACTAGAAGAAATAGAAAGTCAACAAGATTAAGTAACTTCCCTCCAACTACATTGTCAGTAAAGGACAAAGCAAGGATCCAATCTTAGGCAGTCTGATGCTAGAATCTATACTCTTAGCCATGATATTTTCTCCATCAATTCTGAAATAAAGTCACCAATCTACAAATATTCATGGAGTTCTTGAAATATTGTAAAGCACTGATAGTTGTAATGTGGTAGAGGAGGCATGACCACAGATATTGGTACAGTAATCATATCTAATAAAAAAGAGGCATTCCCTGGACCTTCATTCACAATAAACTACTGTATCTTCCTTAACTTATTGCACCTCCTCTCCAGTTTTCTCTATTTCATCATTCCAATTATTTCCTCTATAACACTTAACCCTATCTGAAATTACTTCATTCATTTATTATTTAGTTGCTTATTGCCTTTCTTCCTCTTTGGAATGTAAGTTCAGTGGAGCTGGTGTGGAATGGTTTGAACATCGCCATATACTTAGTTTTACTTTATTTAATAAAAAGTTATTAACCAAATGTGCTAACATCTCATCATCTCATCCGCTTCAGGCTATGCTGTTAGCTTTAAAATACTAAAGGCATTCAGGCTGAATATTTAAATGTTGAGGCCAAGAGCACAGAAGAGATCTCCAGGGCCATTTCTTCCCTTTCCAGAGAATACATGCCATTTTTAGCTAGAGCAGATGTCCTCAACTTGAGCACAGTGGATGAGAGTCATATGGTTTATCAGCCCTTTACGTTTGTACCCAAAACATAGGTGTGTAGATTTGTGTGCCTTTATTTTGAGAGAAGAACCATAACTTTTATCATATTGTCAAAACAATCCTCAAATCAAAAAGCATAAAGTTATTTTTTAAAAAAGATTACTTCTTAACCTTTTTTTTCACTGTCATCTCCCAAGAAATAAATTTTTCATAAGGATTTAGTATGTGAGGTCTCACATACACAAAGAAAAAAATGGAAACAAAATGTCATGAAATAATATTTCCCCCAATTTCATGCACTTCACTTAAATATTTTCTATTTTATTTTTTCTACTTCATATTTGAAATGCTGGTTTTGACCTGCAAAACTGATTTCACACTCACTAGTGAAAGGCACTGTTATAGAAATAATTGAACCAGGTTTTTTTGTTGTTTGTTTGTTTTTCCAATTCTAGTATGCTTACAGATAAGATGTTAAAGTTGGTTGAAAGAAAGTATGGCATCTTGGCAGATAGGTGGAGAGATATTTTAGGGCAGATGTGAGCTTGTGAACTTTCCAGTCATACTCCATAGCAGTCAGTTGCTTACACTTCTGAGTAAGTCCCACTTCTAGAACATGAATAAAAGTATAATATGAAATAAGACTTCATGGCCAGGCGCAGTGGCTCACACCTGTAATCCCAGCACTTTGGGAGGCGGAGGCAGGCAGATCACCTGAGGTCAGGAGTTTGAGACCAGCCTGACCAATATGGAGAAACCCCATCTCTACTTAAAATACAAAAAATTAGCCAGGCGTGGTGGCGCATGCCTGTAATCCCAGCTACTTGAGAGGCTGAGGCAGGAGAATTGCTCAAACCCAAGAGGCGGAGGTTGCAGTGAGCCAAGATCACACCATTGCACTCCAGCCTGGGCAACAAGAGTGAAACTCTGTCTCCAAAAAAAAAAAAAGAAAGAAAGAAAGAAAGAAAGATATAAGACTATAAGACATCATGAGTGTGGATGTGCATATCCATTTCTGCACCTGTAGGCTTCAGTAGGGGCAGAGTGAGGAGGGTGAGGAGTATGATAGTTTGATGTTTCACAAAGAAAGTTCTTTGAGAGCACATCCCGTGGTGAATCTACAAATTACCTACAGAACTTCACACAGCATCCTGTGGGTACATTGAATGGGGAGACAGCAAGTACAGGCAAAAGATCACTGTACTCTGAATCAAAAGAAATGGGTTGGAGTCCTAGTTCCACTACTTGAGCAAGTTACACAAACTCTCTGAGCTTCTACTCCTTATTCTCTAAAATGATAAAAATAAAGGAACTTTATCCACCTAACAGGTTATGGTGAAGAACAAATAAAACAATGACTAGATAGACCTAGGGACTTTCTATTGTTTTCCCCTTAAACTAGATCTCACTAGTTGAGTAGAATTCAATAAGTCTAGCAGTTAGTGGCAAACAATTTATATTCATTCAATAAATGTCTCTTTTCCAGACTAATAATGATACAACTTTCATAATCTGCATTTCAATCACTTTACTTACGGATTGCCACCTCTTATCCTTATAGTTCATCTACTCCACCTTCTGAAGAGAGGAAGGACTTTAATTTCTTCAAAATCTTACTAGCAACTAGCTCCACCTTGGGATGGTGGGAGGTGAAGTTGCTTAATGATATGGAATATAGGCAGTGGAGAAGAGAATTAACAACATAGAGGCAGCTTTCGTCCAGTGAAAAAATCTGGTCTTTGAGTCAGAAAAAAAACATTGTTTAAACCTCAGACCCTTAATTCACCACCTACGTGCAATGGACTTAATTGTCTCCCCCCAGGATTCATATGTTGAAGTCCTTGCCTCTTGCACCTCAGAATATAACTTTATGTGGAGGTAAGGTTTTTAAAGAGAATAATTGAATTAACATGAGGTCATTAGGATGGGTTCTAATCCAATATGAATGGTGTCCTTTTAAGAAGATGTTAGGATACAAACATGTACAGAGGGAAGATCGTGTGAGAACACAGCCATCTACAACACAAGAAGAGAAGCCTCTGAATGGAATCAACTCTGCCAACACCTTGATCTCGAACCCCTAGCCTGCAGAACTGTGAGAAAACGAGTTTCTGCCGTTTAAACCACCCAGTCTGTGGTACTTTGTTACGGCACTCTAAGCAAATATATTATGTAACCTTAGGTATCTTATAAGAGTTAAATTTGATTAATTAAATTAAATAAATAGTTCTAGGACATTTCTGTTGTCTTTATTTTCTCAAGATAGAAAAAAGAGGAGTTTGCCATAAGCAAGGTAAGATAAAGCAATTATAGATTGTTTTGAAATATAAGCTGTATACCTGGACCAAGAAAATGAGTAACATCTTCATGAATCTTGTTTAAATTATCTTGTTTATAGAATCTTGTTTGGAAATCTTTCTTGTTATCTCTGTATATTACGTATATCTTTTTGAATAAGGGGGAATCTTGTGACTTCAAATAGTGGCAAAAGTGACTTATGACTTGATTTCACAAATGGGCTCACAATCTTGACCCTTACTAGAGCCTAGCTTTGTAGTCCTTAAGAGCTAAGCTATAAGCAAAACCCCTTTATCATCCCCTCAATCGCTAAGTGAAGAGAGACAGCTTAGCGTCAGGGTACCACTCCAACCAATGAAAATTCCACTTATCCAGGGGAGGACTGGGAGAAGACCAGGTCACGTCTGCATAGAGATTAAGCATTGCACTTGACATGGAATGAAAGGCAATGTGAAACCCTTCGTCTTGGTATACTAGAATTCCTGCTATGTTTCATAGAAAGGGAAAGCCTCAGTTTCTTTAACCATGTAGTAATGGTGTGTGTGAGCATTGAGATGTATGTGTCCATACACACATCAAAATATTAATTGTGGATATCCATAGGTTTGGAGACTTTTAAATAATCAGTCCACTTTTTTCAATACTTTCCAAATATTCTAAAGTATTATATTTATAACAAAAAAAGAGAAATTGGATTGGTGGCAAGTATAACTTAGAATTTTGTTACTTTCAATTTAATAAATGATGTTGGGAATCACCTACCAGTATATGGATAAATGAATAATTGAATTACCATTGATAATATGAGAATAAAACCTAATGAAAGAAAACACTGCTCTTTTTTTGTATGCAGAATGAAATGGGCCATTCAGAAACCACAGAGGGAGCCTCCTGGGGAACTGGCTAGCCCAGAACATTGCTACATGTTATCTCCTATGTATTGCTAGATGTTATCTGCTATGCTTCTTTGCAGAACCTTCTGATACCTGACTGAAGATGAACCTTGTGGGCCATGTGACAGCTCCCCAAAGAATTTACATAAATCCATGCCTTTAAATCTTCTATTGCCATGACAGGAAAGTGCCATTCAATTCCTTGAAACAGAAACTTTACTGGGCATTATTTTGTCTTATGATCCTGGAGATTTCTTTCCATTCTCTAGTTTTTAATTATGCGATAAGAGGAGGAAGATGGTGAGATGATCAATGATCAGTAGATCACTTTTAGCAAAAATACATCTACACGTTCTCATAATGGCCTCCGGTGCTCTTTTAGGCATGAATGAATTTTAGGCCATGTCACCAAGATGCAGCCTCTCCAAAACTACATTTTGCACACCTTTAATTCACAAACACAAATAAAATCTGTGTAAGGCCACATACGCGTTTGTATACACATTTCATAGTAATTACGTCAGCTGTGGCTTTTTGGTATTCTTTTTAAACGGGCACGGCCTTTGGAATCAGATGCATATCTGGATTTAAGTTCTGGATCCAACACTTAATGCTGTGTGATTTTGTGCAAGTTATTGCATTCATTCGAGAACTGTGTACTGATTGCTTTTCATGATCCAGGCACTGTGCTAGGGTTAGGAGGTATAACTACAAACATGATAATAATGTTTTCTGCTATTATAGAGTTTAGTCTAGTGAGAAGACGTTCATTGAATAATTGATCACAGAAATAAACATAACATAGGAGTGCAGATATCTCTTTGATATACTGATAGAAAATAGATCCTAAGTTACACATATTCCACAGCTTTTTAAACAGTTTTTGGTGGCTGGATTGTTTTGTGTAGATCAAGTTGTAATGGGTGTGGGTTTGTAGCTAGAAGCTGGACCAGGTAGAATTGCTATGCATTTTGGACGGAGGAAGTTAAGTGTTACTGCCCCAGGGAGTTGGGAGTGGTAATTTCGGAAGGGAAGTCCTGCACCTGCTGTATTGGCTAGATCCTGATTGGTGGTGGAGTCAAGGTATGGGTGGCCTTAAGACTTGGGTAGGGAAAGGCAGAGGTTTCAGAAAAAGCTCCCACAGAACACTGCAAACCAGGATTTTAGAATAAAATGTTAGCATACTATGCTACGTTGGCTTCTTTTGGTCACCAACTCTTAAAAAGCACCTCCAAAAATTATTAATGAAATCTTAAAGGATTTTTGACTTACAGTGAAAAAATCATTAAATGTCTTCCTGCATACTAATTGGCAAGACAAAAATCTGCCTGTGTAGATAAAACAACAGAATTTATGACATAGAGATACAAATATATAGATATG
This sequence comes from Homo sapiens, assembly GCF_000001405.40. Lineage (NCBI taxonomy): Eukaryota > Metazoa > Chordata > Mammalia > Primates > Hominidae > Homo > Homo sapiens. The sequence goes on along the minus strand of NW_003315967.2, from coordinate 33,977 downwards.
AACACTGTATGAGAGCATAGAGCAAATCAACCTCGTTTAGATGGCTAAGTTGGGGAAACGTTGAGGAGCAGTCTTTTATCAGAGAACTAATAAGGACTTAGAGTAGCCAGGCAAATTCTGGGGGAGTACTTCAGGCAGCCTGGGTACAAACAGCACATGTGAAGACAAGAATGCATGCTCTAGAAGGGAAAGACTACCATGAGCCTGGAATGGGGTGAGCAAGAAGAGGCTGTAAAAGGTAAGAATGGAGAAGTAAGCAGCAGGGTCAGAACAGGCAGGGCATGGTGGGTCAATGCCTGCAGAATTTTGCAGACCAGAATTTTTTGTGGAGGAGCCACATGACTCAATATGCATTTTTAAAAGGTAATTCTGGCTACTAAGAGAATTGGATGGGAGTCAGAATGGAAAATAAAATTGCTATTGCAGCAGGCTAAGTGAGAGATAATAGTGACTTAAATTAGCACATTGCCCCTGGATTTGAGCTCAGTGGCTTGTTTGAGTTGTATACTGGAGATAGAATCAAATCAATAGGACTGGTGATGATGTAAGGGTGAGGTGAAGGGATAGCCAATTTACCAGTAAAGTGGGGGATTATTAAAAGATCTACTATACACACTCATGGTGAGCATTAAATAAGATAATGCATATCAGATGCACACAGGAAGCACCCAGTGTATGTAAGCTGTTCTTATTATGAATTAGTACAATAATAAGCATTTTAAAATTATTTTCAGCTAGTCTATTTAGAAAGTGAGTATCTTTATATTGGTTGGGAGTTGAAGAAAATTGAGGAGTAATCTTTGGCTAATTTTAAACCTTCAAAATCTTCCCTTAGGTGCACACATGTCCTTAAAGCTGCTGTCATTTTTCATCTGTTTGCAATGACTGCCTCATAACTTTACCATATCTTAAAAACAACCTCAAGCAGGAGGAATGCTTAGGCTATTGAACACCACCAGGGACTCAAAGAGATGACAGAGTAAAGAAGGATAAAACTTTCATTAAACGCTAACCTCCATGTAACTCATCCAAAATTTCTATAAAGTGGGTACATTATTTATGGTTCAAATAAATAAAAGTTGATTGAAGGATTTAAGTAAACTAACTTCTTACCTGTGTATCTTGAAAACAGAATTCTTGGGAAAAAATATTGTTTCTAACATGGCAAATACTTGACCTTGTGTAAAGATGTCATTTTCTCAACATAACTGTAGGAATGACAGGAAAGACGGAGGGTCAGAGAAGCCAATGCATGCTATTTGCATTTTGAGAAAAGGAAAAGGCGAATGGCAAGACTGCAATGCAGGAGACAGAAAAACACATCTTTCCTGGACACTTTTCCAAAATGATGGACCTTCACTTCATCATCAGAGACTTCTGGTTGTTTCCTCAGGCAAAATAAACACTGAAGGATAATTTTTCCCCTGAGGTTTCTAGAGGTGTTTTTCTACTGTCAGCCTTGTTGTTTTCAGGTTTCAGTAATGAGCAAAGAAGAAAGCATAGGTACTTCAGAAGAGTCTGCACTCAGGTCACAACAACAAGATAAAATTTCTCAAGGCCTCTAATAGGCAGAACTGCAAATATGTCATTAACCCTGACCACAGAGGACTCAGGAGGATTTTCGAAAAAACTGAACAAAATCATTGACTCGCCCAATCTGTCTCCCTGATTTTCATTGATTTACTTTCAAAATTTCTGCAACAATTAATTGGTTATTATTTACAATATCCTTTTGGGGTGAATCAATGCTATTATCCCTGGTGTAGTTCAATACCACAATATTATCCCACTAACTTTTCTGTCTACTTAACTGTGTCCCTGATCTGCAAGGATGTCTAATTGCATGACAGCATTTAATGCACATTTGCTACTAAAAATAGTTTTTGTGCTAGTGGGTTTTCCTACCAACTAGTAAAGTGGTCCCCTGCCAGTCCACAACATAACAGGGTAAAGTATTTAATACCTTTAATGCCATTGGCTGTCTGTCACTCCAAGAATGGACTCTCACGCCACCTTCTAAAATAGGAAAGGGGTTGAGAGGCCAAATGTGGATAAATGAGTAATCCTCCTATTAGGGCGATGATGGCCTCCCAAGCAAGATTTCTTATTTATACAACTAAATGTCCCTTTATCAAAATATATTATAAGCATCTGCCTTCCCTCAAACAAATACCTATTCATTTCTACATACTTTGTGACTGTCACAGACCATGTTTCAAAAATATGTGTTGGCTAGGTGCAGTGGCTCACGCCTGTAATCCCAACACTATGGGAGGCTGAGGTGGGAGGATTGGTTGAATTCAGGAGGAACAACACCCAGGCTAGTCCCAGGACAGGAAGCAGCTCTCACAGTGGCAGTGAGGTGAGTGTGTGAGGCTCTTCTGCCTCTTCCTGAGAAAGGAATACATGTGATTTCGGAGGTCCAGGGCTTAAAGATTTTGTTGGTTAATTTTCTTACTATAACAAACATAAATCACACACACGAATTGGGAATATTAGTTACACAAGTAACAGATACCCATATATCCTCCTACTGGCATCTTTTACACATTAAATAATAAACGGCTCAGTTATATTTAATTATTAAATTTGGATTGGTGACCTGTGACAGTGGTACCACTGACCCACAGGCAATTGCATGAGACTCTGCTCTCTTTATCTCCTTCCTCGACTTACTTTCTTTCTTCCTTCCTTCTTATGTTTTCCATTTTCATTCCATCTACTCTTAAGTACTTCCATCAACATGCTGTGGCATAGTCTGACCTCAGTGATGAAACCTAGAGCTAAATTATAACCAAACTTTTCTGTGAAGATGTGTATTGGAACAAGCAAAGACCAGGGGTCAAAAGAACTGTTTGTTGGCCCAGGTTCTACTAATGGGTATCCATGTGTTAGCCACATTTGCTAATCCATTAGACAGCCTGAGAAGTCGTCTGAGCCTCCATTTCCATCTGTAAAGCGGAGCTAAGAATTTATTTTCTGGCCACGCCATAAGGCTGTAGGATCAAGTGAGATTATGTACCTGAAATCTCTTTACAATCTGTAAAATGCTATGAAATACCCTTGAATTCATACTTACGGTCAGTAAGTATGGACTTGTATCTAGAATAAAAGTAAAATGATAAAATGAGATGATTAGTTGGAAGTGTAAAACTAAAAGCTGAAGAACTACAGGAACTAAGTAAAATTATAATAGCATCGGCAAAAAGAATGTTTAATGTGATACTATTTACATCATTACTAAAGTATAGTAGATGCAAGGTGGCATTCAGATTTTATATAATTGTCAATATATTGTTGATTTAATACCCAAACTTTATTTGCCTAGCAAATATCACAGATGGTAAGCTAATTTTGAAAAGCCAAAATACCACCTTCCTGTGATCCCCTCCATCTCTGCTGCATGCTTTAAATTTTATTTTCTGTTTTTTTTATGCATTGCCCTCAAGATTATAAGGAAAGAAACGGAAATAGAAATGATTAGTCAACACTAAGTATTCTTGCCCAAAAAATACACACTAAGTTGAAGAGTTGTTAATAACAGTATCACATGTAAAAACAAGGGAGGTAATTTTTTTTGCCCTACTTGGCATTTTAAAAGCCATAAGAATTCAGGTTTTGAGTTTTCTTCATCAAAGTACATCAAGAAATGGAAAGAAATCCAGAGAGTGGCAACCAAATTTAAAAGTTTACCAAATAAAGGAGGTTTGTGAGAATGAGGCAATCTTAGTTATGAGAAAAATAAAACAACTAGCATGGTAAAAGGCCAAAGGAAGGTAAATAGTAAATTTAGAGACATCTTACATAGCAAGCAAAGGATAAAATATCGTGCATTAAAGTTCTTACTGGTACCACATATTGTTAGAACGGAAAATACTCAGAGACATGTCAATTATCCAGTTTTATTTGATTGTGGAAAGGTCTAATTTTTAAGAATTAACTTGAGAGCCATAACTATAATCATCCACATTGCCAACTTGCTTGATAACCCAAAGTCTCCTCCATTCTTTCTTTTTTTACATAAATGTCAGAAGTAAAGATGCAAATATCCTGGATGCCATCCCTCAACACTAGTAAAATGCTAAAGTGTAAACAGTGCAAAATAAAGTTAGACATTATGGAATAAACAATTTGTATTTTATTGCTAAATTATTCAAAATCTAATGGAAACGTAACCCCCACGGTATTGTAAACAGTAACACCCCAAACCATGACTGCCAGGGGACTGTTTAATGGTGCTTTATTGAGAATATCATGACTTCCATGTTTCTGCACAGTGGGTAATTTATTCTTATTTTGGACTACAGGCAGAAAGTATTTATTACTAACAAAGAAGATATAAAATTTCCCCCTCCCTCACTGCACTGAGTTTGCTGCCACCACAGAGAACAGCGTTGCCAAAGAGAACATAAATCTGGGTGGGAAAAAGGTACATGAAAGAAGGGCGTGAAAGCACTACATGTCCACAGACAGGATTTGGTGAAATTTTGAACAAAATCAAGTCTTCCAAAGGAAACCAGTTGAGAAAGATTCCACACTTTATGCGCTCTGGTTAAAGACATAAACATAAAATAAAAAATAAAAAAGTAAATAGCATACATCCCATTGATGACCACATGGGACAAGAGAAATAGAAGACACACAGAGAAAGAATCCAGATCAGACCAAATGTACTTTCTCAGATGATGTAGGATTACTACTACTCCCTCTCCATAAAATGTGTCAGATATTTCTAATATTTTTAAAAAATGTTTCTAACATAATAAAAAAGATGCCCAAGAGTGGTAGCTCACACCTGTAATCCCAGCAATTTGGGAGGCTGAGGTGGGTGGATCACCTGAGGTCAGGAGTTCAAGACCAGTCTGGCCAACATGGCAGAACCTCATCTCTACTAAATATACAAAAATTTAGCCAGGTGTGGTGACAGGCGTCTGTCATCTCAGCTACTCGGGAGGCTGAGGCAGGGAGAATTGCTCGAACCCTGGAGGCAGAGGTTGCAGTGAGCCGAGATTGTGCCACTGCACTCCAGCCTGGGCAACAGAGCAAGACTCCATCTCAAAATAATAACAATAATAATAATAATAAAGACAATTTCTGAAACATCAAAAATATATTTATCAGAAACTGGAAATATTAAAAGGTGGTATACTAAAAGCGTTCCAATAAAGTCAGGAGCCAGACAGGTACGACTGTCACCAATAGTATATAGAGTTTAGCTCATGAAACAAATTTTGGAAATGCATTCACTAATTGACTATATTTTGAAAAAGAAGAGATAAAGCTATTATCATTTGCAGATAATGTAATTATATGCCCTTGTAATCCAAAATAAATAACTAAAATAATTTTAGAGCTAATAAGTTCTATAAAGTTGCTGTATATAAGAAAATTTACAAATATCAATAGTTTTTCTCTATAAGTAAAAGTAACATACAAAAGGGAAAAAAGAGAGAAAAATCTAATTCACATTAGTAACAAAATTTGATAATACCTAGGTATAAATTTAACAAGAAAGGAATAGGAAGAGGCATATCCTTTTCCCAATTGAAAATACAATCCCAGTAAGATACATTCCAATTATTAGATAAATTTTAAAGTATTCCAAGTAGAAGCTTGACTCTTTTTTTTTCCTTTTGAAATCTGACCAGTGAGCACAAAAGCTACAAAATTTTTGAAAATAATAATGAGGTTTGTGGCCTTCCAGGAATTTAAATGTATTTCTTTGTTTTAACTATAAAGTATAGTACAGATACAACAACAGAGAAATAGATCGCTTGACCTAAATAAAGCTCATAAAATAATGCAGGTACATATTAGAATGTACAAATGATAAATCTGGCATTTCATTTCAGTGGGGAAAGAATATTTTATCCAACAAATAGTACTGAGACAATTAGTTGTCAAATGAAAAAGAATAGTTGGATCCTTGTTTCACAATTGTACCGTAATAAATGACAGATCACTTAAAATGTAAATGTGAAAACAGACCAGGCGTGGTGGTAGCTCATGCCTGTAATCCCAGCACTTTGGGAGGCCAAGGCGGGCGGATCACCTGAGGTCGGGAGTTCGAGACCAGCCTGACCAATTTGGAGAAACCCTGTCTCTACTAAACATACAAAATTAGCTGGGCATGGTGGCGAATCCCTGTAATTCCAGCTACTCAGGAGGCTGAGTCCAGAGAATCGCTTGAACCCAGGAGGCAGAGGTCATGGTGAGCTGAGATTGTGCCGTTGCACTCCAGCCTGGGCAACAAGAGCAAAACTCCATCTCAACAACAAAAAACGTAAATGTGAAAACAACAAAATTGTAATCATACTAGAAAGAAATATAACAGAAAATTTTTATAATGGAAGCAATATAAGGCAATATAATAGTCAGATACCATTTTTCCTGTATCAGCTTGGCAAATTAAAAAGGTTAGGTTTGATTTGAAAGTGGAAGAACATGCTCTCCTACATTGTTGATGGGAGTACAAATTGTTTAAAAATGTGTAGGCTTTATGACCCAGCAATTGTACTTCTAAGAATATATTCTACAAAGCTGATGCCAAGAATATCTAGTCAAATATCTATTATGCTATTGCTGTTTACAATAGCATAATACTAGAAACAACTTAAAAATTTACCAGGGGCTGGGTGCAATGACTCAGAACTATAATCCCAGCACTTTGGGAGGCCAAACTGAAAGGCATGCTTGAGGTGATTTCAAGATCAGCCTGGACAAGACAATGAGACCCCATCTCTACTAAAAAAAACTTTTTGGCCTGACGCAGTGGCTCACGCCTGTAATCCTAGCACTTTGGGAGCCCAAGGCAGGTGGATCACCAGAGGTCAGGAGTTGAAGACCAGCCTTGCCAAAATGCTGAAACCCCATCTCTACTAAAAAAATACAAAAATTAGCCAGACATGGCGGCGGGTGCCTATAATCCCAGCTACTCAGGAAGCAGAGGCAGGAGAATTGCTTGAACCTAGGAGGCAGAGGCTGCAGTGAGCTGAGATTGTGTCACTTCACTCTAGCCTGGGTGAAAGGGTGAAACTCCATCTCGAAAAAAAAAAAAATTGAAAACTACCAGGGAGTAATTACACACATCATAATACAGGTATAGAATGGAATATTGTGCAGTCACAGAAAAAAACACCTAGAAATATGTTCTAAATACATTGTTAAATGCTAACAGCAATCTTCTCACTATTATGCAGAACATGGTTCAATTGACAAGATTACTTTGTTACTACAAGGAGAGCATCCACATTGGCTGACTCTGCAACCATACACCCTTGTGTGTCATGTCCCTGTAATGTCAGTAGGCTTTGTCTCCAGGATTGGACATTGTGTTTGGGCCAAAGGAACATAGTGTTAACCCAGATGAGTGATGACCCCATGGGGGACTAGGCAGAAATTAGAGTCAGACACAAAATACCAGAATCTCTGGGACACATTGAAAGCAGTGTGTAGAGGGAAATTTATAGCACTAAATGCCCACAAGAGAAAGCAGGAAAGATCTAAAATTGACACCCTAACATCACAACTAAAAGAACTAGAGAAGCAAGAGCAAACACATTCAAAAGCTAGCAGAAGGCAAGAAATAACTAAGATCAGAGCAGAACTGAAGGAGATAGAGACACAAAAAACCCTTCAAAAAATCAGTGAATCCAGGAGCTGGTTTTTTGAAAAGATCAACAAAATTGATAGACCACTAACAAGACTAATAAAGAAGAAAAGAGAAAAGAATAAAATAGATGCAATAAAAAATGACAAAGGGGATATCACCACCAATCCCACAGAAATACAAGTTACCATCAGAGAATACTATAAACACCTCTAAGCGAATAAACTAGAAAATCTAGAAAAAATGGATAAATTCCTCGACACATACACCCTCCCAAGACTAAACCAGGAAGAAGTTGAATCTCTGAATAGAACAATAACAGGCTACGAAATTGAGGCAATAATTAATAGCTTACCAACCAAAAATAGTCCAGGACCAGATGGGTTCACAGCCGAATTCTACCAGAGGTACAAGGAGGAGCTGGTACCATTCCTTCTGAAACCATTCTAATCAATAGAAAAAGAGGGAATCTTCCCTAACTCATTTTATGAGGCCAGCATCATCCTGATAACAAAGACTGGCAGAGACACAACCAAAAAAGAGAATTTTAGACCAATATCCTTGATGAACATTGATGCAAAAATCCTCAATAAAATACTGGCAAACCAAATCCAGCAACATATCAAAAAGCTTATCCACCATGATCAAGTGGGCTTCATCCCTGGGATGCAAGGCTGGTTCAACATATGAAAATCAATAAACGTAATCCAGCATATTAACAGAATCAAAGACAAAAACCACATGATTATCTCAATAGATGCAGAAAAGGCCTTTGACAAAATTCAACAACCCTTCATGCTAAAAACTCTCCATAAATTAGGTATTGATGGGACGTATCTCAAAATAATAAGAGCTATCTATGACAAACCCACAGCCAATATCATACTGAATGGACAAAAACTAGAAGTATTCCCTTTGAAAACTGGCACAAGACAGGGATGCCCTCTCTCACCACTCCTATTCAACATAGTGTTGGAAGTTCCGGCCAGGGCAATCAGGCAGGAGAAGGAAATAAAGAGCATTCAATTAAGAAAAGAGGAAGTCAAATTGTACCTGTTTGCAGATGACATGATTGTATATCTAGAAAACCCCATTGTCTCAGCCCTAAATCTCCTTAAGCTGATATGTAACTTCAGAAAAGTTTCAGGATACAAAATCGATGTGCAAAAATCACAAGCATTCTTATACACCAATAACAGACAGACAGCCAAATCATGAGTGAACTCCCATTCACAATTGCTTCAAGAATAAAATACCTAGGAATCCAACTTACAAGTGATGTGAAGGAACTCTTCAAGGAGAACTACAAACCACTGCTCATTGAGATAAAAGAGGATACAAACAAATGGAAGAACATTCCATGCTCATGGGTAGGAAGAATCAATATCGTGAAAATGGCCATACTGCCCAAGGTAATTTATAGATTCAATGCATCCCCATCAAGCTACCAATGACTTTCTTCATAGAATTGGAAAAAATTACTTTAAAGTTCATATGGAACCAAAAAAGTGCCCGCATTCCCAAGTCAATCCTAAGCCAAAAGAACAAAGCTGGAGGCATCATGCTACCTGACTTCACACTATACTACAAGGCTACAGTAACCAAAACAGCATGGTACTGGTACCAAAACAGAGATATAGATCAATGGAACAGAACAGAGCCCTCAGAAATAATGCCACATATCTACAACTATCTGATCTTTGAAAAACCTGACAAAAACAAGCAATGGGGAAAGGATTCCCTATTTAATAAATGGTGCTGGGAAAACTGGTTAGCCATATGTAGAAAGCTGAAACCGGATCCCTTCCTTACACCTTATACAAAAATAAATTCAAGATAGATTAAAGACTTAGATGTTAGACCTAAAACCATAAAAACCCTAGAAGAAAACCTAGGCAATACCATTCAGGACATAGGCACGGGCAAGGACCTCATGTCTAAAACACCAAAAGCATGGCAACAAAAGCCAAAATTGACAAATGGCATCTAATTAAACTAAAGAGCTTCTGCACAGCAAAAGAAACTACCGTCAGAGTGAACAGGCAACCTACAGAATGGGAGAAAATTTTTGCAACCTACTCACCTGACAAAGGGCTAATATCCAGAATCTATAATGAACTCAAACAAATTCACAAGAAAAAAACAAACAACTCCATCAAAAAGTGGGTGAAGGATATGAACAGACACTTCTCAAAAGAAGACATTTATGCAGCCAAAAGACACATGAAAAAATGCTCATCATCACTGGCCATCAGAGAAATGCAAATCAAAACCACAATGAGATACCATCTCACACCAGTTAGAATGGCAATCATTAAAAAGTCAGGAAACAACAGGTGCTGGAGAGGATGTGGAGAAATAGGAACACTTTTACACTGTTGGTGGGACTGTAAACTAGTTCCACCATTGTGGAAGACAGTGTGGCGATTCCTCAGGGATCTAGAACTAGAAATACCATTTGACCCAGCCATCCCATTACTGGGTATATACCCAAAGAATTATAAATCATGATGCTATAAAGACACATGCACACGTATGTTTATTGTGGCACTATTCACAATAGCAAAGACTTGGAACCAACCCAAATGTCCAACAGTGATAGACTGGATTAAGAAAATGTGGCACATATACACCATAGAATACTATGCAGCCATAAAAAATGATGAGTTCATGTCCTTTGTAGGGACATGGATGGAGCTGGAAACCATCATTCTCAGCAAACTATCTCAAGGACGAAAAACCAAACACCGCATGTTCTCACTCATAGGTGGGAACTGAACAATGAGAACACATGGATACAGGAAGGGGAACATCACACACCGGGGACAGTTGTGGGGTGGGGGATGGGGGGAGGGATAGCATTGGGAGATATACCTAATGCTAAATGACGAGTTAATGGGTGCAGCACACCAACATGGCACATGTATACATATGTAACAAACCGGCACGTTGTGCACATGTACCCTAAAACTTAAAGTATAATAAATAATAATAAAATAAAAATAAATAAATAAACCCATTTTCATGTCCAAAAAAAAAAGAGAAAAGAAATTAGAGTCAGAAAACCAGTTGCTGAGACATTACTCCCATCCCTTTACTCTAACTAAAAACAATATGAAGTATAAGCCCTTGGCAGGTGATTCCACCTTTCCTCTGAGGCTGGCTGCTGACAGTTCAGCAGAAATTCTCAGTTCATAGATGAGTTTTGATGAAAAGCAACACCCTGAGAAAAAAAAAAACACACAAAAGGTATTGATAGTTAAGTAACCAGAAAAGATAATTATCCTCAAAGTGATGCAGGCGATATTTTATGTAGGAAGTATCATAGAAGGTTATGAAAAAAGAGCAAAGTATATTTGCTAAAATTAAAAAAAAAACTTAATATATAGTCCAAATATCCACTGCTGAAAAGAAAATCAGTGAGTTGGAAGAGAAGATGGGAGAATTTTCCCAGAACACATAGAAAATAAATACAGTTTCAAAACAGAAAATAAACCATCAAGAGACAGAGAAAAATTCCCAAGAGCCCAACATTCATACAGTATGATTTCTACAAGAAAAGGCTAGAGAGAGTAAAAAGGAAGCCAATTAACAAAAATTCAAGACATGCCTCTCTGAGATAACAAAATGAGCTCACCTCCCACCCTTCCACAGGAGATCCCAAGGGGACCCAGTCTCAGCTCCAGCTCCTCTCGCTACAGTAAAAAAACCTATCCTGCATGTGGATCTGCTGGAAGGCATGCTTATTTAGGCTACAGTCAAAAACCTATCCTGCGTGTGTAGGGATCTGCTGGAAGGCATCTCTTCGTCTTCTGGTTCCTGGTTAGCTTTCCCTCACAGCCTGGGTACCTTCTTGGACCTTCCTCGGATTCATCCCTGCCAGAGTCACCACATCCTTGGCATCCTCATGCGACTCATGGCAAATCTGGGCTTAGAGCATCCTCTAGTGTTGAGATAGCTGCAGTGGTTACGAACTCAGGAAACATAACACAATCTTCAATGGGCAGATATCATCACACATCCATAAGCAACAAGACCATTTAGGAAAATGTAACCTCATCAAAATGACAAAATAAAACACCAATAACAGACCCTACAGTGATGGAGATGTGCGATCTCTTATGCAAGGAATTCAAAATAGCTGTTTTAAGGAAGCTCAGCAAAATTCAGTAAAACAAAAAAATCAGAAATTTAACATAAACTTAACAGAGAGATTAAAATAATAAAAACACCAAACAGAAATCCTGGAGCCAAAAATACAATGAATAAAATGAAAAATGTAATAAAGACCATGAACAGCAGAATTGATCAAACAGAAGAAAGAGTCAGTAAGCTCAAAGAAAGCATATTTGAAAATACATAGACAATAAAAGAGAAAAAAACAAAACGGAACACAGAAAGCATATAGGATCTATGGAACTACATCAAAAGAGCAAATATTTGGGTTAATTAAGTTAAAAAGGAAAATGAGAAAGACAAAGGGGTGGAATGATAAATCAAAGAAATAATAGCACAAAATTTCCCAAATCTGTAGAAGGATAAAATTATTCAGGTTAGGAAGATCATAGGTCACTAATTAGATTCAACCCAAATAAGAATACTCTAAGATACATTATAATCAAACTCTCAAAGGTCTAAACAAAAAAAGATTCCTGAAAGCAGTGAGAAAAAAGAAGCAAATAGCATATAATGGAGATCTAATATGCCAGGCAGAAGACTTCTCAGCAGAAATCTTGCAGGCCAGAAGATAATACGATAATATATTCAGAATGCTGAATAAAAACAACTGTCAACCAAAAATATTTTACCTAGTAAGCTTCAAAAATGAAGGAGAAATAAAGACATTCCCAGACAAACAAAAACTGAGGAAACTTATTGCTACCAGACCTGTCCTATGAAAAATGCTACAGAGAGTTCTACAAACCAAAGGAAATTGATGGTACCATGATTGTTATTCAAATACTGCAATAATAGATAACTTATGATTCTGAAAACACATATCTTTAGTATAAAACTATAAGACAAAATTATCAAAATTAATAATTATAATAATTCATTAAGAAACAGGCAATATAAAAATTGAAATTATGATAATAAAAATTCAAAATTTGGGATGAGAATGTAGTTAAAATGTACAGCTTTTTTTATTCCTTTTTTTTCTTTGCAATTGTAGTTAAGTTGTTATCATTTTAAAGTAACTTGCCATAACTATAGCTTGGCATTTGAAAGCCTCACAGTAACCACAAAGCAAAAACCTATAAAAGATACACTAAAAATAAAAAAGCAAGGAATCAAAACATACAACTAGTGAAAATCACTCAACCTCAAAAGAAGACTGTAAGAGAGGAAGAAAGAAAAAAGGAACCTACAAAACAATTAGAAAATAAGTAACAAAGTGGCAGTAGTTAGACTTTGCCTATCAATAATTCCCTTGAATGTAAATTGGCTTTGCATTCAAAGTAAATCTCCAATTAACAGAGATAGAAGATGTCTTAGTTTGTTTTTGTTGCTATAAAGCAATACTTTAGGGTAGGTAATTTTAAAAGAGGATTATTTGGCTCACTGTTCTGCAGCCTGTACAAGAAGCATAGGGTCGATATCTGCTTCTGATGAGGGCCTCAAACTGCTTCCACTCATGGCAGAAGGCAAATGGGAGCTAGCATGTGCAGGCATCACACAGCAAGAGCAAAGTGAGGGAAAGGGGAGGTACCAGGCTCTTTTTAACAACCACCCCTTATGGGAATTCACAGAATGAAAACTCATACACACCCCAATGCCAGGGAAGGCATTTCACCTCCATGACCCAAACACCTCCCAGTAGGCTCCACTCTAACATTAGGGATCAAATTTCAACATGATTTTTGGAGGGTCAAGTATCCAAACTATAGCAGAGGGGCTGAATGGAGAAGAAAACAATACCCAATTATATGCTGTCCCTAAGAGACTCACTTCACCTGTAAGGATACATAGATTGAAAGTGAAGGAATAGAAAAAAAGATATTCTATGCAAATGAAAACCATAAGAAAGTGGGAGCAGCTATACTTACATCAGAAAAAAAGAGACCTTAAACAAAAACTGTGAAAAGAAACAATGAAGGCCATAATATAATTATAAAGGGGTAAATACAGCAAGAGGATATAACAATTTTATATTCACCCAATATAAAATGTTTTCTTATGTTGAAGAATAAATATATAAAGCAAATGTTAACAGACCTAAAAGGAGATAAGGACTGTAATACTATAATTGTAGTGAACTTCAACAACCTAAATCCAGCAATGGACAGGTGATCTAGACAAAAATTGAACAAGAAAACAGTACAGTTAAACCACACTCTAGTCCAAATGGACCTAACAGACATTTATAGAGTGTTCCATCCAACAGCCACAGAATACACCTTCTTCTCAACAGCAAATGGAATACTCTCATTCTCGAGGACGGATCATATGTTAGACCACAAAACAAGTCTTCACAAATTTTTAAAAATCAAAATCATATCAAGTATCTTTTCTGACCACAAGGGAAAAAAATCTAGATATCAATAACATTAGGGACTTTGGAAACTGTACAACTACATGGAAATTAAATGACAAGCTCCTCAATAACTAGTGTGTTAATTTAAAAATTTTTTAATTAAGACATTTTATTTTATTTTTAATTAAAAAAATTCTTGAGTCAAATGAAAATGGAAACACAATATATCACAAATGTATCAGATACAGCAAAAACAGTTCTAAGAAGAAAGTTTTTAGCAATGAATGCCTACATCAAAATGTAGAAATATTTCAAATAACATAATGTTTCATCTCAAAATACTAGAAAAGCCAGAACAAACTAACTTCAAAAATAGAAGGAAAGAAATAATAAAGATTAGACCAGAAATAAACAAAATAGAGACTAAAAAAATACAAAAGATCAATAAAATGAGTAGTTGCTTTTTTAACAAAATTGACAAACCCTTAGCTATGCCAATTAAGGAAAAAGGCTACTTGAATAAATAAAATAAGAGATGAAACAGGAGGCATCACAACCAATACTACAGAAATTCAGAAGATCATTAGAGACAATTATGAACAACTAACCATCAACAAATTGGAGAACCTGACATAAATGGACAATTTCCTGGACACATACAAACTACTGAGATTGAATCACAAAGAAATAGAAAGCCTGAACAGACCAATAACAAGTAACTAAATTGAATTAGTAATAAAATGCCTCCCATCAAATAAAAGCCCAGGTTTGAATGATTTCATTGCCAAATTCTACCAATATTTAAAGAACAAATGCCAATTCTTCTCAAACCATGATGAAAAATTGGAGAGAATTCTTCCAAATTCATCCTCCAAGGCCATTATTACTCTGATACCAAAATCTGACAAGGACACAAGAAAAAAAAAAGAAAACTACAGGTCAATATTCCTGTTGAAAATGAATTTAAAAATCATCAACAAAATATTATCAAACTGAATCCAACAGCACATTGAAAAGATCATTCACCATGATCAAATAGGATTCAACTCAGGGATGCAAGAATGTTCAAACGTATGAAAATCAAATAAATGTGATATATCACATCAACAGAATGAAGGAAGTAAACCAAATGATCATCCCAATAGACAAAGAAAAAGCATTCAATAAAATTTAGCATTCCTTTATGAGAAAAACCCTAAACAAATTAGTTACAGAAGGAATGTACCTCAACACTATAAGGCCATATATGGAAAGACCCAGAGCTAACATCTTACTGACTGGAAACATGTTAAAAGCTTTACTTCTAAATTCTGGAACAAGACAAGGATGTTCGTTTTCACCACTTCTATTCAATGTAGTACTAGTAGTCTTAGCTAGAGCAATTAGGCAAGAAAACTAAAAAGGTGAAAAGAATGAACGGAAGAAGAAAAAAACAAAAGAAGAATCAACAGCAAATGAAATACTCTCATTCTCGAGGACAGATCATATGTTAGACCACAAAAAAGTCTTCACAAATTTTTAAAAATCAAAATCATATCAAGTATCTTTTCTGACCACAAGGGAAAAAAATCTAGATATCAATAACATTAGGAACTTTGGAAACTGTACAACTACATGGAAATTAAATGACATGCTCCTCAATTGTCAAATTGAGAGTCAAGTTGTCTCTGTTTGCAGAAGACATGATCTTAATTATAAAAAAACCTATAGAATCAACCAAAAAACTACTGGAACTAATAAACAAATTCAGTAAAGTTGCTGTATACATAATAAACACAAAAATCCGTAATGTTTCTATATGCCAACAACGAATTTTCTAAAAAAAGAAATCAAGAACAGAATCCCATTTACAATAGCTATAAAACCAACAAAATACCGATGAATGAATTTGACCAAGGAGGTGAAAGGTCTCTACAATAAAAACTATAGGCCAGGCACAGTGGATCACACCTGTAGTCCCAGCACTTTGGGAGGCTGAGGCAGGCAAATTGCTTGAGTCCAGGAGTTCGAGACCCTCCTGAGCAACATAGCAAAACCCCGTCTCTACAATGAATACAAAAATTAATAGACTATCCAGAAAAAAATTCACACATTTAAGCCAACTGAATTTCAATAAAGGTGCCAAGAACACACACTGGGGAAAGAACAGTTTCTTCAATAAATGGTGCTGGGAAACTGAATCTAAACATGCAGAAGAATGAAACTAGACTCCTACCTCTCACCACTTAACAAAAGTCAACTCAGAGTGGACTAAAGACTTAAATGTAAGATCCGAAACTATAAAACTACTAGAGGAAAAAATTGGATAAATGCTTATGACATTGGCTTGGGCAAGGAATTTTTGGAGTAAGACCTCAAAAGCACAGAAAACAAAGTAAAAATAGGCACACATGGGATTACATCAAACTGAAAGGCTTCTACACAGCAAAACCTCAATAAACAGAGTTGACGAGATAGCCTACAGAATGAAAGAAAATAGTCACAAACTATGCATTTGACAAGCGGTTAAGATCCAGAATATATATGAAACTCAAACAACTCAACAGAAAAGGAAATAAATAAATTCACTTTGAAAATGGGCAAAAGATCTGAAGAGAGATTTCTCAAAAGAAGACATACAAATGACAACAGGTGTATGAAAATATGCTCAATATCACTAATCATCAGGAAAATGCAAATCAGAACCTCAATGAGATGTCACCATACCCCAGTTAGAATAGTGACTATCAAAAAGATAAAAAAAATAACAAATGTTGGTGAGGATGTAGAAAAAGGAGAGCACTTAGCCACTGTTGGTGGGAAGGTAAATTGGAGCAGGCATTATGGAAAACAGCATGGAGTTTTCTTAAAAAATTAACAACAGAACTACACTAAGACCCAGCAACCCCTATTTTGGGTATATAACCAAAGGAAATGAAATCAATATGTTGAAGAGATATCTGCACCCCCATGTTTATTGCAGCATTATTCACAATAGGCAAAATATAGGAACAACCTAAGTGTTCATTAATGGATGAATGGATTAAAAAATGGGTGTATGTACACAATGGAATACTATCCAGCCATAAAAAATAATGAAATCCTGTCATTTGCAACAACATAGTTAACCTAGAGAACGTTATGTTAAATAAAAGTTTCCAAGCACAGAGGTACAAATACCACATGATCTAACTTATATGTGGAATTTTAAAAAGCTGATCTTATAGAAGTAAAGTGTAGAATGGTGGTTACCAGAGGCTGGGGAGAACAGGGGAGAGGGAAGAATGGGGAGAGGTTGGTCAACACGCACAAAGTTACAGTTAGATAGAAGGAGTAAGTTCTGGTGTTCTATTGCACAGTAGGATGACTATAGTTAAAAAATAATGTACCGTATATTTCAAAATAGTTAGAAGAGGGAATTTTGAATATTCTTACCACAAAGAAATGACAAGTGTTCAAGGTGATGGATATGCTAATTATCCTGGTTTGCTCATTACATAATGTATACATGTATCAAAACATCACTCTGTACCCCATTAATATGTACAATTATTACCTGTCAATTTAAAACAAAATAAAATTAAAACCCAGGAAATATATACTCATAAAATAATTTACAGTGATTACAGTGATGTGGAGTTGAAGGAGAATGAAAGTAGGTAAACTAATTTTTTAGTGGTTAAAAATGCTGAGATTATGAGTGATTTAAAATTTTTGCATGTAATAAAAAACTGTATATAGAAAATGTGGACTCAGTTATTCACAGAAATATATTTGTATAATATTGTAAAATCTTAAGTTAAAGAATCTCTGCAATCATATTTCTAGGTAGCTACCCAGATCAGGTAGACCATTGCTGGCTATTAGAATCACTAATCTATTGGCCAAAGGAAGTAAAACCAAGTAAGCAGAACCCCTTACAAAATTCTAGCCTAATGAGACCTATTCACTGTCCAGTTAAATAACCTCATCACAATCCTTCTGCTACTGATTTTAGCAAAACAGGTAACAACTGTTAACACAAAGAATTTGCTTCCCTCTACTATAGTCGTTCTCATGCCTATTTAGTTTGGTGACAATCTCAAAACAGATGCAATGTGAGATGCCCAGTCATCATAACAAGAAGTGGAATCCTGAAGAAGTTATCGGGATGATTCAAGAAGACCTCCTATTTACCATCATGAACATTTTGTTCAAATGATTGAAGATTGATATACTATTTCCTAGTTCTTTTCAATGAGGAACTTATCTTAAACGAAGGATGAGAATTTCATATTTTTTTTAGTTCACTGCAAGTCACATTCAGACAACGTAGTGAAGTGGGTTTCCCTCTAGATCTGACTAAGAAGAGGATGAGAATTTTTATGGTGCATTAGTTGAAGGGGCATCAGGTAGAGCTCCAGCAGGTGATTTCACCTGCTACTTCCATTGCTATCAATCTTTGCTTCAAGATCACATTTTGGGGTTCACAAATTAAATATAAACATTCCTATCTCATGCCAACGTAAAAGAATGCCACCATTTCGACCGGGCGCGGTGGCTCACGCCTGTTATCCCAGCACTTTGGGAGGCCGAGGCGGGCGGATCACGAGGTCAGGAGATCCAGACCATCCTGGCTAACACGGTGAAACCCTCTCTCTAATAAAAATACAAAAAATTGGCCAGGCATGGTGGCGGGCACCTGTAGTCCCAGCTACTCGGGAGGCTGAGGCAGGAGAATGGCGTGAACCCGGAAGGCGGAGCTTGCAGTGAGCGAGATCGCGCCACTGCACTCCAGCCTGGGAGACAGAGCCAGACTTCATCTCAAAAAAAAAAGAATGCCACCATTTCCTGTATCTTTACTGAGAGAGAGAATACAATAAAGCTATTTGAGAAGAGCACCCATGATGACACTGGTGCCAGGATGTAGGGGCCAAAGCGGACTGAGGCAAGAGGATCACCAAGAGCAGGGCTGATGAGAAAGGTGGGTGAGCTCAAGGGACAGACAACGCTCACTTAAATTTTGTGTCTAGTGATAAAGTTTGGTTTTTCCATAAAATAAGTAAATACTGGAAAAGGCCTGGCCAAAAGCTAAAAAGAAAAGGTTGGAAGTTTAGATAAACAGCTAATGTGCAGTTATTGAAATTCTTTCATAAAATGACAAATAATAAGGGATCCACTAGTCATAAAAACTCTGGAGGTGAAAGAATCCCACGTAAGCAATGCATTATTTCAAAAAGTTATTTCAAAAGCAGTTTCTTAACACTGGCATTTCCTTAACCTAGCAGCTTCTTCAAAGAAATGTCTAGGCTAATGTACGCATGAGCAGCAAATCTCCCTGAATTTTCCACATAGTTGCTTCACCTCTCTGCTTTCCTCCTGTTTTGAAGACTTGACCTCTCAAGTGACATCTATTCTACCAGCATCACCAAAACGAAGTAAAAAATAAATAAAAGCAGGTAATGTCAATCCTGAAGTGATGTGAACTGTGACAGAATTTTTTTTTTTTTTTTTTTCTGTATTTACTTAAAACAACTCCAAAGCTTCAGTTCCATCATTGTAAGGTTTCAGAAGTTTAGCCCTTTTAGAGGGAAAAACCGTCTGTCCTGCTGTTCCTCTGCAGGCGATGGAACACTGCAAAGCTTTATTATCTTGAAAGCACTTCTTTGGTAATTCTCAAGACCTCATTTCTCAATCCAGCAGCGTTGTTGAGCAACTGCATGTGTTCTTCAGAATTAGAATTACTGTCCACAGGGAATCTGGCTCCCATGCCCCTTTTAAGTCATTTTCTGTGTACTTTGAGACAGAACATTTGGGACATGGCCCATGTAAAATGTCATATATCTGCGAAAAAGCTTTTACTTATCCAAAGGTGTTTGTGGTTTAAAAAAGAAGAGAAAGAGAGAGAGAAAGTCTTGGTTTCCTTAAACATCTTTGTGCCATCTCAAATCTGAATATTAGGTATTGTCACCCTACTACCCATCAGGAGTCCAGTGGTCTTTCTCTCCTTCTGCCATCATTTCAAAGATGGATTTTTATATTAATCATTCACTCTTTAGTGTGAATACATTCAATCATTTTAAGAGTTTGAGGAATTTTCATTTAAGCCTTGTTTCTAATTGTTTAAAATATTTTTGTCTCTCATAAAATTAATTTTAGGCATCATATGAAACTTAAATACAATTATGAATTCTCATTGCATTCCATGATCTTTTCTCTTGAATGAAAGAGAGAACAAATAGGAGTCTGACTGGACTATGGCAGTGACTGAGGGAGTCTGAAGCTGATTGACAGAACATTGTGGGTCCAGGCAGCACCCATCCTTCCAGGCTTCAGCACCCGGGGCCCACCTGCTCAAGCTCCACTATTCCTGCCCACTGCTTCCTTTCCTCCAGTCTTATCCATTGGCTCTCTTGATCCTTCATCATTCTTGTTCTCAAGACTCTAATGTATCAGAGATCAAAACTCATGTACCCTGTGCTTTCTTTCCTTCTTAGGTTTATCTAAACCCGCAGGTACTTAGAGTGCACCACATCCACATGGCCTAGAAGTTCTGCTTCCTTAAACCCTTCAATGTACAAATTCCCCATACTGGAATTTCTGAGTTTGAAAACGGTCAGAAAGATTTGAGAATGAGAACTGTAAAGTGAGTAGGAGGAGAAAGGTAACAACACTCGTGTCCTCAAATCTGAAAAGTGTAATATATATAAACATTTATCCTTGCTTTCTTTCCCATTATCTCCAACCCTCGAAGATCCAGAGATAACCTCAGGCAGGAGGTAGCAAAGCTCAAAACAGAGAAAGAGATAAAAATACAAAGACAAATCTTTCATCCCATTCATAATGTGGCTTCCAGGCTGTAGCAATCCAGAGCTGAACAAGTTATTTTGCTCTATATAAAATAAGAGTTCATGTGAATACACTAGGTTGAATCTATTACTAAAGTGAGACTATTTTGAGTTTTAAAGTTATCAGAATCCTATTATAATCAAAGAGAATAGAAAAGTTAATAGCATAATTCCAAGGTAGGGTAAAAAATAGAGCTACAGTGGGAAAAACAGATACTGTCTTCAGCATGTACACTAACAAGAGGGGCACATCACTACACTTTGGCACAAGGTGCATTTAGTTTGTTTTCATTGAAGAGGAGCACTGTTTGAGATGGAATTATGCTTATAAGTCAGATGGCAATGGCACTGATCGTTCTCCGTTTTTTTTTTTTTTTTTTTTTAGATGGAGTCTTGCTCTGTCAGCCAGGTTGGAGTGCAGTGGTGCAATACTGGTAACCTCCGCCACGTGGGTTCATGTGATTTCCAGCTAATTTTTGTATTTTTAGTAGAGACAGGGTTTCACCATGTTGGTCAGCCTGGTCTTGAACTCCTGACTTCAAGTGATCCCCCCACCTCAGCCTCCCAAAGTGCTAGGATTATAGGCGTGAGCCACCATTCTTGGCCTATGTCTGCTCTTTAGCTCTTAGTCACTGGTTTTGCAGAGGGCAAATGTAATCCAAAGACTAATATATTGGGTTTGATACCAAGGAGGCAAAAAAGTGCTCAGTACAACTAGTGAAATACCAGTAATTTACATTAAAGCACAATGAAAGAGCAGAATACAAAAAAAAAAAAAAAAAAAAAAAAAAAAAACAAGCAAACAAACAAACAAAAACCCTACTATATTAGCAGCCTTTCTTGCAAAAATACTGATCTCCTGTCAGGGTGGACACAGCTTTAGGCTGAAGGAGCAAAGTCCCAGCAAAGCTGCTCTAGGCTTTGATGAGAAGGAAAGAGTTTTAATTTATCTGGGAACGAGCATCTCTTTAATCAATTACAGAAAAGGAGAGTATCAGTAGAATTATTTATGAGAATAGCCACAAAAAGGCAGCTGTGAGAAGCACGGGGTGCTACTTTATTTCTTTCTCTGCACCAATGGATTATTAAGAATTTATCTCATAAAATAAAATTACCAGAGTTCAGACTTTCTGCTTTGGGTGATTTAAAAACATGTCAGCAAGTTCTTTGACATTGCTTTCATCAAGAAGTAGAGTCTAAGTCCACCCCTGCCTTGGGTATGTACAGATCTTAGTGACTCTTTTAAATAATCAATAGTGAGGCTGCATAAATTTATAGTCTAGGTCAGAAAAAGAGAAAAATAAATGTTCTGGTTCTGCCTCTTCCAGAACATATGCCGTGGAGCTCTGAGTCCAGTGACCCTAAAGCCATCATGCTGGAGGGAAACAGAATACACACACACACACACACACACACACACTCTTACACATACATACATTCATGCACTTACACACACACACACACACACACACACACACACAAACACACGAGGACCCTCAGTTCTTTTGTTATGTGGGTCTCCCCAGCCCAGGTGTAATAGGTGAGTAAGCAAGCCAAATGATTCAGGCCCCAGTCACCATCTGACAGCAACCATATGAGAGGCCCTAAGTAACAACCACCCTGCTGAGCCCAGTCAACCCCAGGCCCATGAGAGATAATAATAAGTGGGCTTTTTTTGCCACAAAATAATGTGTTTTGAGATGGTTTGTTACACATCAATAAATAATTGGAGCAGTAGTTTACAAAGAGGGCTGCACAAATAAACATCTGGTGCATGAAAAAAATAAAAATTCAGTTTGTATAAATTTGTAATTGAATCATCTTAATACTTACTTTGAGGTATGCTTTATAGTTTACCCAAAATAATTTAGATATAAATGCATATAATTTATAAACACATATTCATATACTGTGGTTGCTTCTCACAATATTTTACTGATAAGTTTGTGCAATAAAAATGTTTGGAGACCACTGGTGTGGTGAAAAGAAACTTCAACTAGGAGTCTGATGATTGGGATCAGGTCTTGATTCTGTCTTATTAGCTTTGGACACTAAGCACATCTGTGTACTAGCTACCCTATCTACGAAGTGAGAATTAATGGTAACTATGACACATTTGTAAAGGCAATTTTCAAACTTAAAAGGTTGTATGGCCGGGCGCAGTGGCTTATGCCTGTAATCCCAGCACTTTGGGAGGCCAAGGTGGGTGGATCACAAGGTCAGGAGATTGAGACCATCCTGGCTAACACGGTGAAACCCCATGTGTACTAAAAATACCAAAAAAAAAAAAAAGTTACAAAAATGTCCTACTAAATTACATTTCTTCAAAACTTAATATTTAAGGAAAAAGCTTTGCGATGTATGGGAAATTAGAGTAGGCTTCATCATAATCTTTTTGTAAGCCAAAACTAAGTTAATTTTATTTGAAAAGCTAGTAGAAATGCCTAGTTATATGTTCATATCATCCCTCACGAAGTTTTAAAGATAGTTTAAACCTTTTTTTATGTTACCAGCACTAAGCTCAAAATAGCCGAGAAGTTCTGAAGTCTGATTTCATTTTTTTTAAAAATAAACTTTATTTTCTAAAACAGGTTTAGATTTACAGAAAATTTTGCAAAATAGTACACAGAGTTTCCATGTACTCCAGGCTCAGTTTTTCCTGTTTGTAATATGGTACACTTGTTATGATTAATGAACCAATACAGATGCATTGTTATTCATTTATCGAAGTCCATAATTTGTTCAGATTTCCTTGGTTTTTACCTAATATCCTTTTCCTATTCCAGGAACTCATTCAGGATGCCACATTGCATTCAGCTATTATGTCTGTCTCCTTAGGCTCCTGATGCCTGTGACAGTTTCCTAGATTTTGTTTTTACTTGATGATCTGAACACTTTTGAGGAGTAAAGTATTTTGTGGGATGTCCCTCCACTGGAATTTGTTTGATGTTCTTCTCATGATTATACTGAGGTTATTGGGCTTGGGGGAAAGGAATATTACAGAAATAAAGTGCTATTTTTGTGACAGCGTGTCAAGGGTACATACTATCAACATGAGTTATGACTATTAATGTTGACATTGATAATCACGCTCAGTTAGCTTCATCAGTCTTCTTCACCGTAAAGTTACTCATTCCCTCCATCACTTTCCATACTGCACTGTTGGAGGGAAGTCATTATGTCTACCCCCTCCATGAGAGTGGAGTGTTTACATAAATTATTTGGAATTCTTCTATATGGGAGATGTGTCCATTCTCTCCTAATTACTTATTTATTCAATCATTTATGATATTGATATTATTATATCAATATGGACTCATGGATATGCATGTTATACTTTGAAATTTTATCCTGTACTACTTTATTTTCTTGCTCAACTTATTCCACCTTTGGCCATTGGGAGCGCTTTCAGTTGACTCCTGTGTCCCTTCGACACACCTACATCAATATGGGTTTTGTTTGTTTGTTTGTAAGCATTTATTTGCTTTCTGCACTAAAAAATGGTCCGGGCTCAGCTTGTACATTTTCTGCCTCAGTTTTAGAATTAATCATTTATCTAAGGAGTCCTGGTTATCATTAGTTTTTTGTGACATCATGAAAATGTGCAATATACCTTTGCAAATCCTGAACATATCATTTAACTTACAATAATACCAAATACAGTGAGATTTTTATAATTTATCATAATTATGTGAAAAGGATGATATGGCAAGGATCTGATAGTGAAGATACTGGAAACATGAAGATATCGACATTGTAGAAACAAAATGGTAATGTCTGAAGAGTTTAATCATAAAGACTTTATCAATCAGAGGATAATCAGAGAAACTATAAAGATCAGAAAACTTAAGCAATGATTCTGAATTGAAATAACAAATATATTAATAAGTATACACAAAATGCTAGTGAGAATGATTTACAATGTATAATATTAGGCTCATACACTGTCAACTGATGGGATTCCAATCTTGCTACTAGAAAACTTATAGTAAGTATCTAGAAATAAAGGAAGAAAGATAATGAGAACACTAAAAATTTCCTTAAGACCACACCAGGATAATGGGAATTATCTGCATTTACTTTTGACTCTCAAGAAAACAGCAGCAATCTTTTAAAAACAACAGTAGAATTTTAGGTCTAGAAAAGACATTAGCAGTGTTCTTGTCTAACTAATAGTTTGCTATGGCTGCCATAACAAAATACCACAGACTGGTGGATTAAACAACAGAGATATAGTTTCTCATCACCCTAAAGACTAGAAGTCCAAGATTAAGAGATTAGCAAGTTTGGTTTCTTCTGAGGCCAAAAGAGTCCTCTCTCCTTGGCTTGAGATGGTCACCTTTTCACTGTGCCATTACATGGACTTTACTCTGTGCTTGTGCATTCCTGGTGTCTCTTTATGTGTCCAAATTCCCTCTTATTACAAGGGCACTGGTCAGATTGAATTAGGGACCACCCTAACAGCCTTATTTAACTTAATCATCTATTCAAAGGCCTGTAGCCAAATACAGTTACATTCTGAGATACTGCAACACTGAAACCCTTTGACTGACATCTCCTCATTTTTTCCCCATCCTTCAGCCTCTGATAACCACTATTCAATTCTGTTTCTATGTATTCAACTCTTTTTAAATTCTAGATGTAAGTGAAACCATGTACTATTTTTCTTTCTATGTCTGGCTTGTTTCACTTAGCATAATATTCTCCAACTTCATCCATGCTGTTACAATTGGCTGAATCTCCTTCTTTAAGATTGAATAATATTCATATATATGTGTATTTTATATATGTATGAAATACACACACATACATATATGCCTATATATTTTCTTTATCTATTCATCTATGGACAGACAGTTGGATTGTTTCTATATTTTATCTATTGTGAATAAAGCTGCAACAAACATGGAGATGCAGGTATCCCTTCAACATATTGTTTTAATTTTTTTAGATGTATACCCAAAAGAGGAATTGCTGGGTCATAGGGTAGTTCTACTTCTAATTTTTTGAGGAAACTCCACTCTGTCTTCTATAATGGCTGTTCCAATTTGCCTTCCCACCAACAGTATAAAAAAGCTCCCTTTTCCTCCACACCCTTGTCAACACTTCTCTTGTCTTCTTGATATAACCATTGTAACAGGTGTGACACAGTATCTCATTGTGATTTTGATTTACATTTCCCCGATGATTAGTTATGTTGAGCACCTTTTCATATGCCTGGTGGACATTTTTACATCTTCTTTGGAGAAATGCCTATTGGGGTACTTTACCAAATTTTAATTAGATTACTTGTTTTTTGCTATTGAGTTGTGTGAACTCCTTACAGATTTTGCATATTAACCCTTCATCAGATATACAGTTTGCAAATATTTTCCCCAATCTATAGGCTTTTTCATTTTGTTGATTATTTCCTTTGCTGTGCAGAATATTTTTAGTTTGATGTAGTCCCATTTGTCTGTTTTTGCTTAATCCCACTGGTTTATTTTTGTTTTTGTTGCCTGAGCTTTTGCTGTGATATCTAAAAACTTATTGACAAGACAGATGTCAAGAAGCTTTTTCCTTATGTGTTTTTCTTGGAGTTTTGCAGTTTACAGTCTTATGTTTAAGTCTTTAATCCATTTTGAGTGTGTTTTTTTTTTGTATGGTTTAAAATAAGTGTCCAATTTCAGTCTTTTACACGTGAATATCCAGTTGTCCCAGCACCATTTGTGGAAAATATTGTTCTTTCCTCATTGTATCTTCTTGGTGCCCTTGTTAAAAATTTGTTGACCATATATGCTTGGGTTTATTTCTGGGTTCTCTATTCTACTCCATTGGCCTGTGTATGGGCTTTTATACAAGTAGCATACTCTTTTTATTATAGCTTATTAATAGAATTTCAGGTCAGAAAATCTAGTTCTTCCAACTTTGTTTTTCTTTCTCAACATTGCTTTGGCTATTTGGGGTCTTTGGTGGTTCCATACAAATTTTTCTATTTAGGTGAAGAATGCCATTGGAATTTTGATACGCATTGCATTGAATCTGTATATAGTCAGCCCACTGTATCTATGGGTTCTGTACTTGAAGATTCAACCAACCACAGATCAAAAAATATTCAGAAGAAAATACATTAAAAAATAAGACATTTTAAAAATACAGTATAACAACTATACTATTTTCATGTCATTTACATTGTATTAGATATTATAAGGAATCTAGAAATGAGTTAAAATATTAAAAAAGGTGTGTAGGTTATGTGAAATACTACTACATTTTATAAAAGGGACTTGAGAATCCAGAGATTTTGTTATCCACACGGGGTGTCCTGGAACCAATCCCCCATGGATATTGAGGATAACTATAGTTCTTTGGGTAATGTGGACATTTTAACAGAATTAATTCTTTCAGCCCATGAACATGAGATAGCTTTCCATGTATTTGTGTCTTTAATTTCTTTCATTAGTGTTTAATAGCTTTCAGTGTACAGATTTTCCATCTTTTTGATTAAACTTATTTCTAAGTATTTTATTCTTTTTGATTCTATAGTAAAAGGGATTATCTTTATCTTTTTTATTTGTTTTTCTGATAGATCATTACTGGTATAAAGAAATGTAACTCATTTTTGAATGTCAATTTTGTATCCTGTAAATTTACTGAATTCATCTGTTTTAAGTGTCTGTGTGTGTGTGTGTGTGTGTCCCTTAGGTTTTTCAACATATAGGATCATGTCATCTGCAGATAGAATAATTTTACTTCTTTTCCAATCTGGATATCTTCCATTTCTTTTTCTTGTCCGATTGCTCTTGGTAGTATTTGTTGAGAGTTTTTATCAAGAAAGGATGTCGAACTTTGTCGAATGCTTTTTCTGCATCTACTAAAATAATCTTATGAGTTTTGTCTTCCATTCTGTTAATGTGAGATATCGCATTGATTGATTTGAATATGTTAAACCAATCTTAGATACCAGGGATAAATCCCACTTGGTCATAATGTATAATCTTTTCAATATGTTGTTGAATTTGGTTTGCTACGATTTTACTGAGGATTTTTGCAACTGTGGTCATCAGAGATATTGACTTGTAAGCTTTTTTTTTCTTGTAGCGCTTTTGTCTGACTTTAATATAAGGATAATGCTGGCCTCATAAAATGAGTTTGAAAGTATTCCCTCAAGTTATATATTTTTTGAAAGAGTTTGAGAAGAACTGATATTAATTTTTTCAATGTTTGCTAGAATTCAGCCATTACGCCATCTGATTCAGGAATTTTCTTTGTTGGAAGGTTTTTAATTACCACATCAATCTCTTTATTTGCTATTACTCTGTTTAGGCTCTCATTATTTTCCTGATTCAGTTTTGGTGGGTTGTATGTTTATACAAATTTATTTTTTTCTGCAGATTATCCAATTTAATGGCATATAATTAATTGCTCATATTTGTCTCTAATTATCCTTATTTCTAAGGCATCTATTATAATGTCTTCACATTCATTTCTGATTCTATTTATTTAGTCTTCTCCCTTTTTTTTTTTTTTGGCTTAGTCCAGAACGGTATGTATATATTTTATTTGTTCAATAAATCAACTCTTAGTTTTATTGATTTTTCTATTTCTATATTCTTTTGGTTTACTTTTGCTCTGATAGCTATTATTTTCTTTTTCATGCTTACTTTAAGTTTAGTTTGTTCTTCTTCTTCTAGTTCCTTGAGGTATAACATTAGGTTTTTCCAAATCTTACTTTTCTTTCCTTTTTTCTTTTGAGATGGATTCTTGCTCTGTCGCCCAGGCTGCAGTGCAGTGGCGCTATGTTCGCTCACTGCAACTTCCGCCTCCCAGGTTCAAGCGATTCTCCTGCCTCAGCCTCCTGAGTAGCTGGGACTACAGACGCGTGCCACCACGCCTGGCTAAGTTTTTGTTTTGTATTTTTGGTAGAGAAAGGGTTTCACCATGTTGGTCAGGATGGTCTTGATCTCACCTCGTGATCCGCCCACCTCGGCCTCCCAAAGTGTTAGGATTATAGGCGTGAGCCACCACGCCTGGCCTAGATGTTCCTACTTCTTAATGTAGACAATTACTGTTATAAACTTCCCTCTCAGAACTGCTTTTGCTGCATCTCCTAGGTTTTTGGTATGTTGTGTTTTCATCTTTTTTTGTCTCATAAGTTCTACAAATTTTCCTTTCTATTTCATCTTTGAACCATTGGTTGTTCAGAAGCATGCTGTTTAATCCCCACATATTTGTGAATGATATGGTCTGGCTGTGTCCCCACCCAAATCTTATCTGGAATTATAATCTGAATTATAATTCCCACATGTCAGGGGAGGGAAGTGATGGAAGATGATTTGATCATGGGGGTGGTTTCCTCCAGGTTGTTCTCATGACAGTAAGTTCTCACTAGATCTGATGGTTTTATAAGTGGCAGTTTTCTCTGTGCTCTTTTGCTCTTGCCTGCCACCATGTAAGACATGCCTGCTTTCCCTTCTGCTATTGTTGTAAGTTTCCTGAGGCCTCCCCAGCCATGTAGAACTGTAAGTCAGTTAAACCCTCTTTATTTATAAATTACACAGTCTCAGGTAGTATCTTTATAGCAGTGTGAAAAGGGACTGATACAGTGAATTTTCTAGTTTTCCTCTTGTTACTGATTTCAGTTACATACCAATATGGTCAGAAAAGACACTTGACATGACTTCAATCTTCTTAAATTTCTTCTTTAAAAAACAAATTTGCTAACATTTGTTTTGTGGCTAACATGTCTATCCTGGAGAATGTTTCATGTGTGCTTGAGAAGAATGTGCATTCTGCTAATATCGGGTGGAAGGTGTGGTATACCTCTATTATGTCCAATTTTTCTAAACTGTATGTCAAGTCCAATATTCCCTTATTGATTTTCTGTCTGGGTGATCTATCCATTGTTGATAGTAAGATATTGAAGTCCCCTACTGTCATTGCATTGCTGTCTATTTCTTCCTTCAGATCTGTTAAGATTTGCTTTATATATTCAGGTGCTCCACTTATGGGGGCATATTTATTTACAATTGTTATATCCTCTTGATGAATTGACACCTTTATTATCATATAATGTTCTTCTTTGTCTCTTGTGACAGTTTTTAACTTAAAGTCTATTTTGTCTAATGTAATTATAGCCACCTTTTGGTTATCATTTTTCATGAAATATATTTTTCCATACCTTAACATTGAGCCTACGTATGTCTTTAAGATTAAAGTAAATCTCTTGTAGGAAGCGTACAGTTGGGTGTGTTTTTATTTAAACCATTTGGTCATTCTGTGTTTTGTTGGATAATTCAATCAATTTACATATAAGGTAATTATCAGTTGGTAAGAACTTACTGCTGTCACTTGTTAATTGTGTCTTGTTGCTTTGTATATACTTTGTTTCTTCCTCTCCTGCTATATTTCTTTGTGATTTGATGATTTCATGTGTTGCTATTTTTGTAATCCTTTTCCTTAATCATTTGTATATCTACTTTAGTTGTTTTTTTTTTTGTGGTTACCATGAGGCTTGCATAAAACATTTTATAGTTATAACAGTCTATTTTATGCTGGTAATAAGTTCAATCACATAAACTCTATACTTTTAATCTCCTTTCATACTTTATATTTATTATGTTAAAATTTACATTTTTTATGTTATGTATCCCTTACCAAATTATTGCAGCTATGGTCATTTCTAGTAGTTTCATCTTCTAATCTTATATTGGAGATAAAATTGATCTACACTCCATCATTACAGTATTACAGTGTTCTTTATTTGATGATTTATTTACCGGTACCAGTGATTTTTAAAAAATTTTTGTGGGTACACAGTAGGTGTATATATTTATGGGTTATATGAGATGTTTTGATACAGGCATGCAATGTGAAATAAACACATCATGGCAAATGGGGCATTCATCTTCTCAAGCATTTATCTTTTGAGTTACAAACAATCCAAATATACTCTTTAAGTTATTTTAAAATGTACAATTAAGGTCTTATTGACTATAGTCACCCTTTTGTGCTATCAAATTGTAGTTCTTATTCATTCTTTCTCACTATTTTTTTGTACCCATTAACCATCCCCACCTCTCCTCCAACCCCCCACTACCCTTCCCAGCTTCTGGTAACCCATCCTTCTACTACTCTCTATGTCCATGAGTTTAACTGTTTTGATTTTTACATACCACAGATAAGTCAGAACATGCAATGTTTCTCTTTCTGTGCCTAACTGATTTCACTTAACATAATGGTCTCCAGTTCCATTGAAGTCGTTGCAAATGACTGGATATCATTCTATTTTTATGGCTGAATATTACTTCATTGTTTTTATTCATTCATCTGTTGATAGACACTGAGGTTGCTTCCAAATCATAGCCTTTGTAGACAGTACTGCAAAAAACACAGGAGTGTAGATATCTCTTCAATACACTGATTTCCTTTCTTTTGGGCATATACCCAGCAGTGGGATTGCTGCATCAGGTGGTAACTCAATTTTCAGTTTTCTGAGAAACCTCCAAACTGCTCTCCATAGTGATTATACTCATTTACAACCCCAACAATGGTGTACAAGGGTTCCATTTACTCCACATCCTCGTCAACATTTGTTATTGCCTGTCTTTTGAATAACAGTCATTTTAACTGGGGTGAGATGATATCTCATTGTAGTTTTGATTTGCATTTCTGTGATAATCAATAACCTTAAGCGTTTTTTCATATGCCTGTTTGCCATTTGTATGTCTTCTTTTGGAAATGCCTATTCAAATCTTTTGCTTAATTTTCATTATTAAATTTTTTTTTCCTATAGAGTTGTTTGTGCTTCATATATTTTCTGGTTGTTAATTCCTTGTCAGATTGGGAATTTGCAAATATTTTCTCCCATTCTGTGGGTTGTATCTTCACTTTGTTGACTATATCCTTTACTGTTCAGAAGCTTTTTAACTTAATGTTTTCCTATTTCTCCATTTTTGCCTTGGTTCCCTGTGCTTATGGACCACAACTCAAGAAATCTTTGCCCAGACCAATGTCATGGAGATTTTCTCCAAATTTTTCCTGTAGTAGTTTCATAGTTTGAGGTCTTAGATTTAAGTCTTTAATCCATTTTGATTGTATTTTTTAATGGTGTTAGATAGGGGTCTAGTTTTATTCTTCTGCATACAGATATCCAGTTTTCCTAGGACAATTTATTGAAGATACTGTCTTTTCCCAGTGTATGTTCTTGGCACCTTTGTCAAGAGTGACTTACTCTAGGTGTGTAAATTTGCTTCTGGGTTCTCTATTCTGTTCCATTGGTCTATGTGCTTATCTGTTTGTTTTTATGTCAGCACCATGCTGTTTTGGTTACTATAGCTCTGTAGTATAATTTGAAGTCAGGTAACAAAATTGTCCCAGTTTTGTTCTTTTTGCTCAGGATAGCTTTGGATTTTCTGGGTATTTGTTGTTCCGTATAAATTTTAGGACTGTTTTTTCTATTTCTGTGAAGAATGTCATTGATATTTTTATAGATATTGCATTAAATCTGTAGATTGTTTCAGGTAGTATGAACATGTCAACAATACTGATTCTTCCAATCCATGAACATGGACTATTTTTCCACCTTTCAGTGTCCTCTTACATTTATTTTATCAGTATTTTATACTTTTCATTATAGAAATGTTTTATTCCTTTGGTTAATTCCTATCTATTTCACTTTACATGTGGCTATTGTAAATGGGACTGCATTGCTTTAGTTCTCTTTCATAATGTTCACTGTTGGCATGTAGAAATGGTACAGATTTTGGCCAGGCATGATGGCACACACCTGTAATCTTAGCACTTTGGGAGGCCACAGCAGGTGAATCACTTGACCTCAGGAGTTTGAGACCAGCCTGGGCAACATGGTGGAATCTCATCTCTACAAAGAAAAATAAATAAAATAAAATAAAATAAAATAAAATAAAATAAAAATACATATATATATAAAAGCTGGGTATGGTGGTGCACACCTGTAGTCTCAGCTGCCTGGGAGGCTAAGGTGGTGTGAGGGTCACTTTAGCCTGGGAAATCAAGGCTGCAGTAAGCCAAAATGGCTACTGTACTCCAGCCTGGGCAACAGAGTAAGACCCTGTCTCAAAAACAAAACAAAAAGTACAGATTTTGGTTTGTATATTTTGTATCTTGAAACTTTGCTAAATTCCTTTTATCAGTTCCAGTAGTTTTCCTGTGGAGAATTTACGTTTTTCCAAATATAAGATCCTATCATCTATAAACAAGGATAATTTGACTTCTTCCTTTGCAATGTGGATGTTCTTTATAGCCTTCTCCTGTCTGATTGCTCTAGCTAGGACTTCCAGTGTTATGCTGAATAACAGTGGCGATGGTAGGAATTCTTGTTGTGTACCAGATCATAGAGGAAAGGTTTTCAGTTTTTCCCTATTCAGTATGATACTATCTTGGGTCTGTCATATACGGCTTTAATGTTGTTGAAGTATGTTTCTTCTGTTCCCAGTTTTTTTGAGAATTTTTATCATGAAGGGATGCTGAATTTTATTAAATTCTTTTTCAGCATCAATTGAAATGATCCTATGGTTTTTATTCTTCATTCTGCTGATATAATGTATCACATTGATTGATTTATGTATGATGAACTATCCTTGCATCCCAGGGATAAATCTCACTTGGTCATGATGAAAGATCTTTCTAATGTATTGTTGCATTCAATTTCCTACTATTTTGTTGATTTTTGCATCAATATTCATGAGTGATATTGGCCTGTAGTTTTCTTTTACTGATGTGTCTTTTGTCTGGTTTTAATATATTATAATACTGGCCTCATAGGATGAGTTTGGAATTATTTCCTCATCCTCTATCTTTGAGAAGAGTTTGAGTGGGATTGGTATTAATTCTTCTTTAAATGTCTGGTAGAATTCAGAGGTAAAGCTGTCAGGTCCAGGGCTTTTTTTTTTTTAATGGGAGACTTTTTATTCCAGCTTCGGTCTTGTTACTTGTTATTGGTCTGTTCAGGATTTGAATTTCTCACAAGTTCAATCTTGGTAGGTTGTATGTATCTACAAATTTCTCCATTTCTTCTAGAGTTTCCAATTTATTGGCACAGAGTTGCTCATAGTAGCCACTAATGATC